>NC_000004.12:133769865-134072896 GCF_000001405.40 Homo sapiens
GTAAGAACAAATGTAATTTATGACAACAAAATTATGATTATATGTTTATAGAGTATTAGAAATCAACTAATCTAAATTTTCTTTTTAATAGGAAATAACATTAGGAATAAAGTTTTTTACTTCCCTAAGGTTTTTAACCATCTAGACACATTCAAAAATTCAAAATTTTATTTCCATTTTTGTATTTTTTTAACTTGCTGCAGCCAATTAATTGATTTTATGTACAGTATTCTATGGATGTTATTTGTATATCATCTTTCCTTTGAGTACTATAATGTATGTGATAACCCTGAAATATGCATTTTATTAAGGCTTGATTAATGTATTTTCCCAATTCTTTATACTAGAATGCAAAATTAAATAAATTTGTTGAGCTATACATTACAAGCAGCACACTAGCTCTACCCTAATCCATCCTCCTAGGCTGATACCAGAGAAGGAAAATAGATGCAGAAAGAAAAGAATGAGTGGGAAAGATGAAGAAAGAGACAATAAAAATACTGTGCTCTGCTTCCACACTATGGCTACATAAATTATGAGATTAAGTGTAAACTGAGAAGATGGGAAATAATTTAATTAAATTTGATGTTAAAGTTTTAGATTAATAGACACAGAGAATAAGACATGCAGATGAAAAAGTAAGAAAAAAGTCTGGGACTGCATTAAATATGTTGACAAGGATGGATTCCAATATTTTTGTTATTACCCTCAAGGGAACTAAAAGAGAGAATGTGATCTGCAAGGTGAGATACCTCTTCATCACCACGGGTGAAAAAGCACACTTAGTTTTAATGGTCATATAGAGTTAAGAAGTTGAGGTCTTGTACTCAAATGAGATGTTGGAGATGAAAAAACTATATGTATTCGTTCATTTTCATGCTGCTGATAAAGGCATACTTGAGACTTGGAAGAAAGAGAAGTTTAATGGACTTCTAGTTACACAAGGCTGGTGAGGCCTCACAGTCATGGTGAAAGGCAAGAAGGAGCAAGTCACATCTTACATGGATGGCAGCAGGCAAAGAGCGAGAGCTTGTGCAGGGAAATTCTCATTTTTAAAACCATCAGATCTCATGAGACTTTTTCACTATCACAAGAACAGCACAGGAAAATCCCTCCCCTATGATTCAATTATTTCATACCAGTTACCTCCCACAACATGTGAGAATTATGGGAGCTACAATTCAAGATGAGGTATGGGGAGGGACACACAGCCAAACCACATTATTCCACCCCTGGCCCCTCCCAAATATCATGTTTTCACATTTCAAAACCAATCATGCTTTCCCAACAGTCCCCCAAGTCTTAACTCATTTCGGCATTAACTCAAAAGTCTACAGTCTAATGTTTCATCTGAGACAAGGCAAGTCCCTTCCACCTATGAGCCTGGAAAATCAAAAGCAAGTTAGTTACTTCCTAGATACAATGGGGGTACAGGCATTGGGAAAATACAGTCATCCCAAATGGGAGAAATTGGCCAAAATAAGGGAGCTACAGGCCCCATGCACGTCCAAAATCCAGCAGGGAAGTCAATCTTAAAGCTCCAAAATGATCTTTGACTCCAGGTCTTACATCCAGGTCATGCTGATGCAAGAGGTGAGCTCCCATGGTCTTGGACAGCTCCACCCCTGTGTCTTTACAGGGTACAGTCTCCCTCCTTACTGCTTTCATGGGCTGGGGTTGAGTGTCTGTGGCTTTTCCAGGTGAACAGTGCAACCTCTTGGTGGATCTATCATTTTGGGGTCTGGAGAATGGTGGCCCTCTTCTCATAGCTTCACTACATGACGTCCCAGTAGGGACTCTGTGGGCACAACCCCACATTTCCCTTCCTCACTGCCTTAGCAGAGGTTCTCCATGAGGGCCCCACCCCTGCAGCAAATGTTTACCTGGGCATCCAGGTGTTTCCATACATCCTCTGAAATCTAGGTGGAGGTTCTCAGACACCAATTCTTGACTTTTGTGTACATGCAAGCTCAACACCACATGGAAGCTGCCAAGGATTGAGGCTTTACCCACTGAAGTAATGGCCTAAACTCTCTGTTGGTCCCTTTCAGCCATGGCTGGAGAGGCTGGAATTCAGGGCACAAAGTTCCTAGGCTGCACACAGTGTGGGGACCCTGGGCCCAGACCATGAAACCATTTTTTCCTCCTAGGCCCCTGGGTCTGTTATGGGAGAGGCTGCTGCAAAGGTCTCTTACATGCCTGGGAGACATTTTCCCCATTGTCTTAGTGATTAACATTCAGCTTCCCATTACTTATGTAAATTTCTCAGCTGGCTTGAATTTCTCCTCAGAAAATGGGATTTTATTATCTATTGAATTGTCAGGCTGTGAATTTTTTGAAATTTTATGCTCTGTTTTCCTTTTAAAACTGAAAGCCTTTAATAGCACACAAGTCACCTCTTGAATGCTTTGCTACTTAGAAATTTCTTCTACCAGATACCCTAAATCATCTCTCTCAACTTCAGAGTTCCACAAATCTGTAAGACAGGGACAAATGCCTCCAATCCCTTTGCTAAAACATAACAAGAGTCACCTTTGCTCCAGTTCCCAACAAGTTTTTCATTTCCATCTGAGACCATCTTAGCCAAGACTTTATTGTCCGTATCATTATCAACATTTTTGGCAAAGCCATTCAACAAGACTCTATGAAGTTCCAAACTTTCCCACATTTTCCTGTCTTCTTCTGAGCCCTCCAAGCAGTTCCAACCTCTGCCTGTTACCTAGTTCCAAAGTTGCATCTACATTTTCAGGTATCTTTTCAGCAGCACCTACTCCTGGTACCAATTTATTGTGTTAGTCCATTTTCATGCTGCTGCTAAAGGCATACCAGAGACTGGGAAGAAAAAGAGGTTTAATGGATCTACAGTTACACAAGGATGGGGAGGCCTCACAATCATGGTGGAAGGCAATGAGGAGCAAGTCACATCTTACATGGGTGGTGTCAGGCACAGAGAGAGTGCTTGTGCAGGAGAAATCCCATTTTTAAAACCATCAGATCTCATGAGACTTATTCACTATCACAAGAACAGCATAGGAAAGAGCCACCTTCGTGATTCAATTATCTCCCTCTGGGTCCCTCCTGCAACACATGGGAATAATGAGAGCCACAAGATGAGATTTGGGTTGGGACAGAGAGCCAAACCATATCACGATATAAACCCAGGTTTCTCAAAAACTTAGCTTGCCCAGTATAATAACGGGCAAGAGAAAATAAAATTAAATAGAAGCACAGGGTGATTATA
Source organism: Homo sapiens (assembly GCF_000001405.40). Classification (NCBI taxonomy): domain Eukaryota; kingdom Metazoa; phylum Chordata; class Mammalia; order Primates; family Hominidae; genus Homo; species Homo sapiens. The sequence continues at coordinate 133,773,107 of NC_000004.12, forward strand.
AGGGGTCTATAGTAACTAGGCATCCACTCAAGAAGAAAATATTTTAAAAAAGAGAGAGAAAAAAAAGAAAGAGGAAGGGAGAAAAGGGAAGGCAGGCAGGCAGGCAGGCAGGAAGGAAGGAAAGAAAGGGAGGGAAGGAAAAAAGAAAGGAAGAGATTTTCATCCACCTGTCAATCTGTAGTCTTGCTATCACAAAGGCTTGGGATCCAAATATGCATACATGTAAAATACAGAAAAGCTAAAAGGTAGAGATTAAGCTAAAATAAAATCAAATTGATAGTGTCCAAGGTCCTTCAGAAGATGTAAATACAATTTATATCTGGAGAAACTCAGCCTGAAAATATAGCCCTCATGATTGTTAAACATTTAAATCAGTTAAATATCAACTAACAAAAAGTAGGAAAAATGTGGAATACATCATTAAAGGCATTAGAAGCTATTAACAGCAGAATTCAACTTTGACATTTTAAAATATGATATCATATTTGATAATGTGAACAGTACAGTGTAAGAACTGTAAGAAGTTATACTGGGAAAAGATAATTGAAAAGAAATCCTCTGTGGTTAAATTTTAGTCTTGAAAATAGACTTGAAAGTAAAAATAGTATTACCAGGTTTAGAAAGGGCCATTATATAATGACAAAAGTTTCAATTCACCAGGAGACAGGAGACAATAAACATTCTAAATTTACCTAATAAACTTGTCTCACTTTTTATTTTTAATCAAAAGAAGCCATGTTCACTTTCATAGTTGGAGAAATGCAAGACTTTTATGTTCTGTAGTTTCCTCCCAAGTTGCAGAATTCTAAAAAATGTATATTCTTTTCTTAGTAACAACTATTCATTTATGACAAACACACATCTGATCCAGTCCAAAGTTATTTCAGAGCTTCCAACACTGGGAATGTCCTCTGAAGAATGTGGATACTGCTTTCTTACCCATTCTGATAAAAGAAAATAAACCACCTTATTAGCTGCATTCTCCCTAATCACTCCCCTGGGGGTAATAAAAACAATATGATAATCTATCACTGTCAGAATTTTTTTCAGCCGTAAAAAGGGGAATTTCAGGAAAAAAATCAATTCTGAACCATTTCTGTGGGATTATTTCAGCTCTGCCTCCCTCTAGGTGAGTTTCAGCCCCAGGATGATTTCTCTCAAGGTTTCATGGGGCAGCAGATGCTACTGAAGTTAGATAGGTATATGTTCACATTTACATGGAAAGAGAAAACAACTCTAACAATAAAATATTTTTCCTTGAATTTTTTAGACAATCTCAGGTTGTCTATTACATCTAACCCATAATGCCATTAATTTAATGCCATGTATTAACTAGATTATGTATTTCCTGACCCAAATGCAAAACTCCTGAAAGGGTTAAGATCACCAGGACTGACTCAGAGCCCAGCATTGCAGCAAGGGTTGGCTTCAGCTTTTCTGGAGTTACCTGGAAGGTATGTGTCAAACCAACACAAGATGAAATTTCTGATTGTCTAAGTAGAATTGACAAGGTGAACTGACAACTACTTAGGGGTTAGTGTGTAGTAACAAAAAAAAATTTCCCTTTGTTGAATCTAAAAATCATAAAGACTAAATTTCTAATTTAGGAAGAAAATTATACAAAACTAATGTATCTCTCATGACTATGCTAGTACATTAACAAACCAGTGGCTGTTATTACCTTTAGCAGTTTAAATATTTTGAAATCATGTGCTAAAATATGACTTTAGCACATGTGATTATGTTCTCTTTATGGAGGGGATCTAGCAAATTAACCTTATTTAGTCAAGAAAACAAAGGGAAAGTGTTTTTGGAAAAGCTGGTTTTTCCAAAGTGCTGATTATTCATTACTGGCTTTGGAGGTTTTATAGGTTTACATTTCATCTTTCTAAAGAAACTGTAAACATTATCAGCACTGAATATATGCATTTTCATATCAACTCAAAATCTGTTTTGGTGACCTTCACAACATCCTTAATTAGCTGAGCCTTACTAAATGAAAGCAGTTACACTGCTTTACTAAATTCCTTTAATATGTTCATAGTTTAACATGATTTTCTTCAAAAGAAAATTGCAAATATGCCCTTAACTTGGCCCATTCTATCAATTTAAGTGTCTAGAAATCAAACAGAATATAAAAAGTAGGCTTTTGTATAAAATTGGGATTTAACTAAAAACATATCTAGATAGTAAAGCAATGAAGAAATGAAACATAAAGTAAATTTTATGTTTTGCTTTAATGAATCTGAAATAATATCTGCATGCCTGTGCATATCTATATAATATGCAGAGTGTTTAAACACATACATAATATGTATATAATTAATTAGTTTAATTTACATAATTTATAGATTTTTGTCTTTATAGTCAGCTTAATACTTTTCAGAAAGAGTTAACTGTGATTATTCTAATTTTTAAATAAATGTCTTTTCAGAGTTAACTCCATCCTCCCTATCAGAATGTTAGAAATGATATTTTGAACAACTAACCACAAGCCAGTGGCAGACTTACTTTGATGCAATGTAAAAAACATATTTTCGGGAGACCTAAAAAAAGTACCTAGGTCAGCATTTAAGGCATTTAAAAAACTTTGGCCCATTAAGATACTTTAAAATCTTTCTCAAATATAGTCATACATTGTTTATTAAATATTGAAATACATTCCAAGAAGTGTGTCATAAAGCAATTACATTGTAGGAACATCATAGGGTGGACTTACACAAACCTAAATTTTATAACCTAGGCTATATGGTAAGGGCTAGGCTGTGTGGTAAGGGCTATTGCTCCTAGACCACAATCCCATATAGCAGGTTACTGTCCTGGATATTGTAGGTAATTGTAACACAATGGTAAGTAGTTGAGTATCTAAACATAGAAAAGGTGTAGTAAAAACACAGTTATAAAAGATAAAAATGGTACACCTACACAGAGCACTTACTATGAATAGAGCTTGCAGGACTGGAAATTGCTCTGGATGAGTCAGTGAGTGAGTGGTGAGTGAATGTGAAGGCCTAGGGCATTACTGTACACTATGATAGACTTTATAAACACTGTATATTCAGGCTACACCAAATTTATAATTTTTCAATAATAAATTAATCTTAAATGAGTATAATTTTTTACTTTACAAACTAATTATTTAAACTTTTTGAGTCTTTTGTGATAATATAGCTTAAAACACAAATACATTGTACAACTGTACAAAAATATTTTCTTTCTTTCTATATTTATTCAATAAGCTATTTTCTATTTTGTAAATTTTAAATTTTTAAAAAATGTTTTAAACTTTTTGTTAAAAACTGAGACACAAACAAACACATTAGCCTAGACCTAGACAGTTTCAGGATCATCAATATCACTATCTTCCACCTCCATATCTTGTCCAACGGGAAGGTGATATAGTTTGGCTGTGTCCCCACCAAAATCTCATCTTGAATTCCCACGTGTTGTGGGAGGAACCTGGTGGGAGGTAATTGAATCATGGGGGGCAGGTCTTTCCCTTACTGTTCTTGTGATAATGAATAAGTATCACAAGATCTGATGGATTTAAAAAGAGGAGTTTCCCTACACAAGCTCTCTCAATTTGCCTTCTGCCATCCATGTAAGATGTGACTTGCTCCTCCTTGCCTTCTGACATGATTGTGAGGCTTCTCTAGCCATATGAAACTCTAAGTCCAATTAAACCTCTTTCTTTTTAAAATTGCCCAGTCTTGGGTATGTTTATATCAGCAGCGTGAAAACTGACCAATACAGAAGTTCTTCAGGGACAATAATATACATGAGGCTGTCATCTCCTATGATAACAATGCCTTCTTATAAAATGCCTTCTGAAGGACTTACTTAAGGCTGTTTTACATTTAACTTTTTTCTTTGATAAGCAGGAGTATACCATAAAATAATGGTTAAAACGACAGCATAGTAAATACATAAACCGGCAACAGTAGTCATTTATTGTCAAGTATTATGTGCTGTACGTAATTGTATGTGTTATACTTTTATAGGACTGGCAGTGCAGAAGGTTTGTTTATACCAGCTTCACCACAAACACATGAGTATTGAATTGCACTGTGACTTAATGATGCCCGTGATGTCACTAAGCAATAGGAATTTTTTAGCTCCACTGTAATCTTATGAAAAATCATCATATATGTGGTTTGTTGTTGACTGAAGTCATTATGTGGTGCATGACTATAATTTCAGGGAAGATTTTGCTTATAAGCTTAATTTGTATCTTGCATATTGCATATTTTTAATAAATGTTTGACAAAAATACTTGAATATATATAAATATATACACATATGAAATATATATACACATATGTATGTATACATATTTATTCATTTATCTAATATTCATTTTATATATATTTGCATATATGTATCTCTCTGTCCATATATATATAACACACACAGAGAGATATATATGTGCATGTATATATATATATTTACTCTTAACTCTAGTAGATAGGAATTGTTTCCTGAAAAAGCTTTATTTCTTTTTAACTTATCATTAATTAAAAATAAAAATAAGCTATTCATAAAAAATCAATAAGTTAAAGTTTCAGAAGTTAATATTGAGTGAACAAGAAAATTCAAACTAAAAACTTTCCCATATGTTCAGTAGTAAAAAAAAAAAAAAAAAAAAAAAGTCCTTAAATATGCCTTTGAAAACATGAGGAGAAGAGGAGGTCCTGGGAGCCCAAGATAGAGTGATTCAAATGGCAGGGAGATAATATGAAAATGTGAAACGTGAAAATGAGTGAGGAACATGGTGCTTCACTCCATCAACACTCTCTGAGATGCTGTAAAAGGGACATATGGAAGCTCAAACTTAAATAAGAAGTGGGAATTTCCTTGCAGTGATCATAATGATTTTATAAAATTCCTTTTACTTCTGTGGAGACAACGTGTGTTAAAGATATCAAAAAATGTCATATTTATTATAAGCTGTTTAAAATGTTTTCTTTTAAGTAGAACATTATGCCCATAGAATATACATGAATGTGAATGCATACTTTTCGTTATAATTATTGCAGAATAAATACATATCAGCTATCTTGTTTAATTTTGCAAGAAATTTAATAAATAGTAAATTCTTTGTTAAAAATCTGTTGAGTCCATTTACTATACATATATATGTTTGAAGATACTATCAGCATGAGGAACATCTTACATGACAGACACTGTTGCATATGTAATCTCGATTAGTGAATAGGATTCTAACTACTTTTAATGAACTTCAAAGCACATATTTGACACATACATTAACAGAGGATCTAGAAGTGAGAAGTGAAATATTCTTTGGTATAGGTAGATACTATAAAGTTAATAATACTGGATAAGTAATGATGTATAAGCACAGATAACATCATCTTGTGACATCTATTTTGTTAGGTGTACTGTGGATATGATTTCAGATGATATTTGAAGTGGTTCTACACAAAATAGAACATCTCAATCTTAGTGATTTTATTAACACTATTGTCATTAAAATGTAAAAAGTTGAATGTTTGAAAATTATATATGTAATATAGACATATGTATATATGCATACATAAATACATGTATAAAGATGTGCATAAATACATACAGAACACATACAGTTGCATTTATATTTTTTCAAAAATATATTGAAGAGATTGCTAATTAACTAGTATGTATTACACTGAGCATAAGGTAGTCATCCATTCTCTGTGGCCAAGGCCCCTACTGGACAGCTGAAACCATGGATAGTACAAAATTATATGTATACTATACCCAAATTTCTTCTTCCTTTTCCACGATTTCCTGTATAGAAGATTCGTTCTTACTGTAGATCTTAACAACCTCAGCATAAGATTTTTTTCTTTCCTTATTAATCAAAGAACTTTCAATTTTTCACTTAAAGGAAGCACTTTATGGCTTCTCTTTGGAATATCTGAATTGCCAGCATGATTACCCTTTCACTTTCGGGCCATTATTAAGTAAACTAAAGCTTCCTTGAAGACAGGCACTGCCATACTGTGACAATCAATCTGGTAACCAAGAAAGCTAAGAGATTAATGAGCAGGTAGTGTAGACAGTGTGGATGTGCTGGACAAAAGGATGATTCAGATCCGGGATGGGACAAACAGAGATGGCATGAGTTTCATTACGCTACTCAGAAGATAATGCGATTTGAAACTTATACATTGTTTATTTTTGGAATTTTTTATTTAATACTTTCAGGCTGCAGTTGACTGAGTAACTTATCATTTACTTCTGAGCTATAAAAAAGGTTTTAGTTACTAAAAAGGTCGCAGTGCTCAAAAAACAGTATGTATCAAAACAGACTTTGTATATCAAATCTATTTTTGTAGTTCAATCGATGGATTCTACATTTAAATTGTAGTGAACACAGTATTTTCATATGGAAGCATGAGTGGATTGTGGGCAGGAAGCTTTAAGCATTAACTCATTGTTTTAATTGCATTTTTCCACTTGAATTCTCACAGCTCTATTCTTCACCCAAATTCAGGTAGCTAGGCCAAATTACCATTTCCTCAAGGGGACTATTGTCACTCTGGAAGCAAATACAATATAGATATAAGATGAAAATCTTTATATTGCATGCAGACAGAAAAAAATTCCATGAGCTAGATAATGAATATCAACTGCAGAAACCGCCCCCCACCCCCTGCTAGGGAACATCTGGCAATGTCTGGAGTCATTTTTGGTTGTCACAACTGAGAGTGGGGGGTTATGTTGGCATCTGGCTAGTGGAGGTCAGAGCTGCTGTTAAACATCTACAATGCAAAGGACAGTTCCACAACATAGAATGATCTGATCCAAAATAACAATAGTGTTGAGATTGGCAAATGCTAGACTAGAGAAAGGGGAGAGAGAGGAACATCACTAATATGACAGAAGAGACAATAGCATGAGATCAACAAGTTTTATCTAAGAATGCACTCCCAGGATCAGGGATGCCTTCAGGAACTGAGTCTGTTTGCCATTCTTGTGAGTACCAAACATAACCTATGCTAACAATATACATTAGTTGCCTGCTTTTTGCAAACTAATAAGGATTTCTCTTTGATGGCAACAAGCATGTTGACCACTAATTGTCCAAGGAGTTCTGATGCCTCCTTTTGATCCATAATTTGTTGTCTTACCAAATGCACCCTATATAGGCTATCCATGTTTCAGTGACCCAGGACACTGAATACATTTCAGGGAAGTGGTAGTGTGGAAGGAAGGATTTTCCATTTGGCCCAAGTGGTAGCTAAGTATCAACTAAAGAGTGACCTTTAGGCAGGGTAGTGGTTACTCTTGCCTTCATACACACATCTTCGTCTTGAAAAAAAATTATATCACATTATCATACAGTAGTAATAAACACATCTCTATTCTAGCAAATAATTAAAAATATTAAAAAATTATATTGAAAGAAAATATTTCTATTGTTTGCCTTATATGCATAATATTTCCCTTGTAAGTCCATGGTAATTTGCAGGAAAATTCATTGTGATGTAATTAGTTTCATAAGATTGACAGCAACGGCCCATCTATTATAGATTTTTATGACATGCTAATTTCCCATCTGTCCAGGGCACTTCTTTTCATGTGCCAACATTTTAGAGAAAAGTTATAAGAATTGAAAGCCTACTCTTCTTCTAATTGCAGGACGACAATTATTAATGCAATATTCTTGCTAAAGGAGAAGGCACGCTTCTTCGTTTTTTATAAAGGTCACTTTTATAAAAAATGATAGTTCATTATAACCTCCAAATTGAAAATTATTTTCTAGTAATATAAGCAGGCCCTGTCCCACTTTCACACTTATCCCTAAACCTAAAATGGCTTCCTTTTTCATATTTATTATCCCCAGTATTCTCTGTGAAATTTCTTTTGCATTAAGAACCTTTCCAAGAAGGTTTCATTGAAACATGTCACATAGGGGATTATAAAATTAATGTGATGTCTTTTACAAATACATTGTAAGTACTATAAATAAATCAACCAATGACAAACTGAAGTATTTCTTTTCCCTCTTATGAAAGAAAGTGAGACAATATGCAGAGAAGGCTTAAGAAGCTCAAGTTGAAGTAAAAATTTAAGCTACCCCAGAAAAGACTATAAATACTTGTTTATTACATTTGATTTCTGGTATGCCTAAAGTGAGTTACATCTGTGCCAACATATGGATAACTTTGTTCTGAGGGCCTGGGTTTATTGGAGGCATGGGCTGGTTGCCTCACATCAGAAGAAATCTCATATTTATACTCAAGTATTATACAGATATTTTGAGTAAAACATTTGAAAAATGTTCAGAGGAATTGTTCCATATTCTAATATTTGGATGTATCATTTTATCATTATGCAAATTCAAGAAAAAAATTAATGACCTTGGATGCGAAGAAGAGGATTCATGGGAAATTGGTAGGGAGTTCAGAGTGAAATACAGAAAAGAAGGTACTATAGAAATTATCTTACTTAGGTACAATGCAATAGAATACATATTGTTGTTGACTAGTAATAATTTTGCAAACACTGTTTGAAAAACCAACATTCTAGAATGAAGAAAATTAAGAAGACTAACATTCATAAGTATTTCAAAGGGATAATTCTTGATTATAGAAGCGTAAGTTCAGTGCATTTTAAAATGACTCCTCAATAGTTTCTATCACTTAGTATATTGCTCTATAAATAAAGACATTATACTATTTTCCCCAAGTGCTTCGGGGGAAATCCTCATTTTGACTAAAATGCTGTTAAAATGATGTGATAAAAAGAAAATCAATATTAGTGAGAAAGGTAAATTTAGTAGTGCTGATGAGATAAATACAGTACTCAGCTGTTGTGACAATTATTGAAACCAGCATTTGCAAGTTGCATCAAATCTGCACCTTTTTCATTTAATTTATTAGAATGCTCTGAATAAAGATTAACTCCTTTAGCCTAATATTTCTTGGTTCATTAGCATTAAAATGAGAACTGCAAGTTCCTTGGAATAACCTTTAAATTGTTTCTTCTAACTTCAGCATAACTTCTGACAGTATCTCCAAATCTCCTTGAACTATTATTTTGTCATGTTCAACTCTTTTCAAGCTGTGTTTAATTTAGTCTTTACCAAGGGCTAAAGTTTTAAAATTGACTTTTAAAAGCAATCCACAAATTTTGTCTTAGAGACTGGGGGCACACAGCAAAGAACTTTCAAGCCTTTATTCGATATGTTAGCAAAACTTCAGGCCATATGGAGGCTTTGAGAATAAGTCCCTAAAATATACCAAGGGGCATAGTGAGGGTGGTCACACAAAATGTTTTATGCATAATGTTTTCTCCAAATTTTAAGTAGCAGGGAAAAAAAGAGTAAACAATGAAGTTCTTGTTACCAATCTTGCTGCTTTTTCAAAGGACTCAGGAAGGAAATTTGCTGAGGGCACTGCATAGTATAGGTTATACCAGACAGATTGCACAGAAACCAAGTTAGCTCATAAGAGAGATACTTTGAAAATGGAGTAAAAAGTAAAGGGAAGAGAAAAAAAAAAGCACTAATGAAAACACTGTTGAAACATCTACAGGCAATGATGGAAAAAAAACACAACATAAAACAATCTAAAGATTTAAAGATTTCTCAGATGACAAACAGTTCAAAATTATCACATGGATTCCTTTGTAAATGAAACGACAGTGTAGATATATATATATAATATATATCTTATATATATCTTATATATATTATATATACATCTTATATATATATCTTATATATATATCTTTTATATATATCTTATATATATATATCTTATATATATAAAAAATCCAATAGTTTATTTATTTATTTATTTATTTTTTATGTTTTTGAGACAGAGTCTTGCTCTGTTGCCCAGGCTGGAGTGCAGTGGCACGATCTTGGCTCACTGCAACCTCCGTCTCCCAGGTTCAAGTGATTCTCCTGCCTCAGCCTCCTGAGTAGCTGTGATTACAGGCATGTGCCACCATGGCCAGCTAATTTTTGCATTTTTATTAAAGACAGGTTTCGCCATGTTGGTCAGGCTGGTCTTGAACTCCTGACCTCGTGATCCGCCTGCCTTGGCCTTCCAAAGTGTCGGGATTACAGGCGTGAGCCACCGTGCCCAGCCTATTTATTTTTTAATAAATGTGGTAACAGGAATGTTTAGGAAAAATTCTTGGACATTTAATTCAAATATTAAAGTACATTTCAATCAGACAAGCAGGTAAGACTTTCTAATTTAAAACAGTAATCTTCAGAAAATTAAAATGAGTTAACTCTCTGAATGCTCCAAGGTGAAATGGACCAATCTCAAATTTCATGACTTAAAATTGAGAGACAGTTTTTGACGACACTTCAGTAAATTACATTTTTATGCTTCCTTTTCAATTGTGCAAAACTAAAACAATCTTTAAAATATATTACAAAATTACACATTGTGACTTGGGTTAGCAACAGAATTGAGGTTATTATATTATTGTATTTTACTATTTCTGACTATATGTCTATGTAATTCAACAATATTAATTTTGTTAACTAGATAATATATATTTCAATAAATACCCATAGATTCCTTATTTTTTCCTATTTCCATCTGCAATAGTCTCTAATGTTCTATAACACATTTAGCAACTTGTTTTTTCTGTAATTAATGATATTGATTCTGACACTTATGATTAATCTGCTCTAAATTAACTCCTTTAAATATAACTGAAGCTTGACTCATAACTAATTCATTTTTAATATAAGTGCAATTCTTCAGCTTGTGTTAAAATAGCTATCAGTGCACATGTGTCTGTAATGGCCACGTGCCCTTTGCTGAATTTTATTACATGTTAATAAAACACAGTGAAATGGGTGGCTTTGTATTGTAACTTCTGGTTTCCCATTATGACCTTCACAGGCGTGTATTCTACTCCACTTTGTTGCTAAAAGCTTACAGAAATTAAACAATAAGTCTTACCCATTGAGACAACACTTTCAAATAATATATTTCAATTTCTACAGATAGAATCGTTTAACAGACATGTAGTTTGTGCTGACACCATTTTGATTTCAACTTTATACATATATATATATTTTTTTCTAGTGGTGAAGGAATACTTTCTTTAAATTCAGTTTTTTTCCCTAATTCTGTGTGCTACATCACCGTAGGGCTGTGCCCATTTAGACAAACAATTTTGAATCATTTCAGTTTAAAAATAACAGCTTGATATCAGTAAAGCAACTGTGATTTTGTTTGCTCATGAGAAATAACTTATTTGCTTTAATTTTGGCAAAGTTTTTTGTTAACATAACTTGTCATTTAGTTATCACTCATGCTTTAGAAATAATACAGCAGAATCAAACTTATCTTAAATATTTTCAGATAATTTATTCATCCTAGGACAACCTCTAGTGGGTGATAAGATACAATCTTTTCTTAATAAATACCAGCATAGTACAAGAGAAAGTATTAAGATCTATAATCAGAAATTCTTGTTTTGTTTCTGGATATATAAACTTTTACTTTTTTTCAAAATTCTAAAATTCTGAGAAGCTGTGTAGGCTTGTCATTAAATCATATCTGCTGTACTTCTTAGGCAAAGGAGGAATCCATGAATTCTCAAATTTTTGCCATCTGTTAAAACAAGTGTAATTTTTTTTTTTTTTTTTTTGTAAAATCACCTCTGTTTCTCATTTGTAGCAGATTTAATGAGGAATTCCAGTACGCTAGCTAGAAGCCACCCATTTTTCCTTTGGGTTATTTTTCTTCTCTGTAAAGGATTTTCTATGATAGTTTTCTTAGTGAGGTTCCGTAAGTGGTAAATTCTCTAATTTTTTTTACATTAATAATTAAGTATATTCTGGCCTGGTGTGGTGGTTCACGCCCGTAATCCCAACACTTTGGGAGGCTGAGGCAGGTGGATCACCTGGGGCCAGGAGTTCAAGACCAGCCTGACTAACGTGGCAAAACCTTGTTATCTATTAAAAATAATAAAAATAATAAAAAGTAGCCAGGCATGGTGGCACGTGCCTGTAATCCCCGCTATAGGGGAGGTGGAGGTAGGAGAATTGCTTGCACCTAGGAGGTTGAGGCCGCAGTGAGCTGAGATCACGCCACTTCACTCCAGCCTGGGTGTGAGACTGTCTCAAAAAAAAAAATTAAGTATATTTTGACTTCATTCTTAAATGATGGCTAATTTAGATGTAAAAATCTAAACTGAGTGTTATTCCCCCCACCCAAACGCCAACAATTGGAAACTATTACTACATGCTTTTCTGGTATGTATATGATTGCTAATGAGGAATTGTACCTAGAAATCATATTGTTATAGGTAATAATCAGCCTTTTCTCTCTCATTTTAAAAATAATGTGCTTCTTGAGTTATGGTTTTACTTCATTGTATCTAGGTATACATTTATTTTTACAGATGTTTTTTAGTAACCCAGAGCTAAATATACTGGCATATATTTTGCCAATAAAGGTACTCGATAGTCAGGGAAATCAAACTGAATATAAAAACTACTTTTGGGGAATTTGTGTTAGCTTGAAAGAAAGAAAGAAGGAAAGAAAGAGAAAGAGAGAAGAAGAGAAAGAGAGAGAAAGAAGGAAAGAAAGAAAAAGAAAGAAAGAAAGAAAAGAAAGAAGAAAGAAAGAGAAAGAAAGAAAAAGAAAGAAAGAAAGGGAAAGAAAGCAAGCTACAAGAAGAAAGGGAGGGAGGGAGGAAAGAAGAAAGGGAGGGAGGGAGGAAGGGAGGGAAGGAAAGAAAGAAAAAAGAAAGAAAGAAAAGAAAAGAAAGAAAGAAAGCGAGAGAGAAAGAGAGAGAGAGTCTATAGTTGACCATTGAACAACACAGAGCACAGAGGTTATGGGTGCTGACCCTACACAGATGAAAATCCACTCATAATCTGTGATTCCCCCAGAACTTACTGCTAATAGCCTGCTGTTGATCAGAAACCTTAGCAATAACACAAGCAGTCAATTAACACACATTTTGTATGTGGCATGTGGTATATACTGTATTCTTATAATAAAGTAAGCAAGAGAAAAGAAAATGTTGTTAAGAAAACCATAAAGCAGAGAAAATATATTTACCATTCATTAAGTGAAAGTGGGTCATCATAAAGGTCTTTATCCTCATTTTCTTCTCATTGAATAGGCGGAGGAGGAGTGCAGTGGAGGAGTTGGTCTTGCTGTCTCGGGGTGACAAAGGAGGAAGAAAATCCCAATATAAGTGAACCAGTACTATGCAAACCAGTGTTGTTCAAGGGGCAATGGTACACATAGGGCTACTGTTATGAACAACGTGAAAGTAATTTTCTAGCTTTCTAGGAAACTCAGGTTTCAGTTTTCTTAAAATCATGACCACTGGTGCTAGGTAGCTCATTTCCTGTGATAGGTTAGGTGCTGATGTATTTCTTTATATCATCTTCAAAGATTATCTGTATGTTTCTTTTGCTTGATAATCAAATGCACCTGCATATTTTCCAGTCTGGTGCACAGAAGCATTGTAGGAAAAGCAAAAATGTACATAATTTGTTCTTCCCATGCTCAATTCTACTTTTTTTTTTAATTTTATTTATTTATTTTTTTTAATGTTTTTTTTTTATTATACTTTAAGTTTTAGGGTACATGTGCACATTGTGCAGGTTAGTTACATATGTATACATGTGCCATGCTGGTGCGCTGCACCCACTAACGTGTCATCTAGCATTAGGTATATCTCCCAATGTTATCCCTCCCCCCTCCCCTGACCCCACCACAGTCCCCAGAGTGTGATATTCCCCTTCCTGTGTCCATGTGATCTCATTGTTCAATTCCCACCTATGAGTGAGAATATGCGGTGTTTGGTTTTTTGTTCTTGCGATAGTTTACTGAGAATGATGGTTTCCAATTTCATCCATGTCCCTACAAAGGACATGAACTCATCATTTTTTATGGCTGCATAGTATTCCATGGTGTATATGTGCCACATTTTCTTAATCCAGTCTATCATTGTTGGACATTTGGGTTGGTTCCAAGTCTTTGCTATTGTGAATAATGCCGCAATAAACATACGTGTGCATGTGTCTTTATAGCAGCATGATTTATAGTCATTTGGGTATATACCCATTAATGGGATGGCTGGGTCAAATGGTATTTCTAGTTCTAGATCCCTGAGGAATCGCCACACTGACTTCCACAATGGTTGAACTAGTTTACAGTCCCACCAACAGTGTAAAAGTGTTCCTATTTCTCCACATCCTCTCCAGCACCTGTTGTTTCCTGACTTTTTAATGATTGCCATTCTAACTGGTGTGAGATGATATCTCATAGTGGTTTTGATGTGCATTTCTCTGATGGCCAGTGATGATGAGCATTTTTTCATGTGTTTTTTGGCTGCATAAATGTCTTCTTTTGAGAAGTGTCTGTTCATGTCCTTCGCCCACTTTTTGATGGGGTTGTTTGTTTTTTTCTTGTAAATTTGTTTGAGTTCATTGTAGATTCTGGATATTAGCCCTTTGTCAGATGAGTAGGTTGTGAAAATTTTCTCCCATGTTGTAGGTTGCCTGTTCACTCTGATGGTAGTTTCTTTTGCTGTGCAGAAGCTCTTTAGTTTAATGAGATCCCATTTGTCAATTTTGGCTTTTGTTGCCATTGCTTTTGGTGTTTTGGACATGAAGTCCTTGCCCACGCCTATGTCCTGAATGGTAATGCCTAGGTTTTCTTCTAGGGTTTTTATGGTTTTAGGTCTAGCGTTTAAATCTTTAATCCATCTTGAATTGATTTTTGTATAAGATGTAAGGAAGGGATCCAATTTCAGCTTTCTCCATATGGCTAGCCAGTTTTTCCAGCACCATTTATTAAATAGGGAATCCTTTCCCCATTGCTTGTTTTTCTCAGGTTTGTCAAAGATCAGATAGTTGTAGATATGCGGCATTATTTCTGAGGGCTCTGTTCTGTTCCATTGATCTATATCTCTGTTTTGGTACCAGTACCATGCTGTTTTGGTTACTGTAGCCTTGTAGTATAGTTTGAAGTCAGGTAGTGTGAACCTGGTACCATTCCTTCTGAAACTATTCCAATCAATAGAAAAAGAGGGAATCCTCCCTAACACATTTTATGAGGCCAGCATCATTCTGATACCAAAGCCGGGCAGAGACACAACCAAAAAAGAGAATTTTAGATCAATTCTACTTTTTTACAGGTTGTTTTATTCTTATTTTTACCATTATATTTATTATATATCAATTTAGTTTGTGATTTCTTCCAAGTACTGGATGTTAAATCTTAACAAATAAAATGTTAATTTCCATATTTTAATTATTTCTTTCAGCCTCTTCCTCAATTCAGTGCTCTACTTCAATAAATTATTTCCTAATTTTGTTAGGCATAGTTTGTTTCTGTAGCTTGAAAATACTGAATTTATCCAATAACATGCCCATAGGTAAAGAATTATCTTCCCTGTGTATATGGATTATTTTCATTTATATGTGACCTTCATACCCCACTCTGCAATCTCATCTATTTTTCTCTCTACCAAATTTAAATTTTCTTACTCATAGGGTTGGTTATCATGGTTTCTCTGGAATTTTTGTACATAAGACTCATTTAGATGCACCAATTTATCAATCCTGAAAATCAGCTCATTAGAATTTCTTAGATAAAATTCCCAAGGGAACAATTCCAGGTGGCCCTATTTTTTTTTTTTTTTTCCCATGGCAGGCCATAGATGTCATATTCTGGCCACACTAATTATTGGGCTAAATATAGCTGGATTAGTCACCTCAGCCTAGGAAACTGGGATGGTATCTTCCAAATGGTAATGCAGGAATTTTAAGGTAAGCACAGGGAGACAGAAACGTCTCATGAGCAGAAAGGCAGAATTTCTGATGGATTTTGACTTTTCTTTGTGGATACAGATGGTGAAAGTGAGCCTCAATGATCTTCATGATCCCTCTGACCACTGGGATCTTAAGCAGGAGGTGTCAGAAAATTTATCACAGAGATCATTGCAATGTGGTGGCTAAGTATTCATGGCAATGCCACTGTTTGGTCCTTAGATATTAGCACTCCGTCATAAAATATTGGTTCTTCATTGTGAAGCAGACTTCACTAAGGGTGGGATTGTTCACCCATTAATAAGAATTTGAGCTGTGATTAGGCAATGGTGATACAAGACAGTTTTGTCCTACTGATGATGTGTTTGTTGTTGCCATAGGAATCCTTCTCATTAGAAATGGAACAGCATGTTCAGATCTATAGATCGTACCTATTGCTGGTACTATATATGAATAAAATTCAAAGTTTAAAAAATTGTCTTTAAGATAAATTGATTAATAAAATGATAAAAATCTTATTTAGAAAATTTATTTAAAACTTGTATGTCTGTGTTCTCATGTCTAGGTAGATATTTCTATAGGAGGACTTAGGTAAAATAAAAGTGAATATTTAAAAATTAATACAGATGAGCATATCAGAAGATCTTACTTCAGTGGTATGTACGTTTAACATAGAAAATAACAATCTTTTTCAAAGTCAGATATTTTGAATAAATGAATAGCAAAGACGCTGTGTTTGTATGCACAGTATATATTAAAACCTCGTAGAAATTACATTTAGAATGCAAGGTGACACTTTATGAGCTCTACTGAATTCAACTTGTACACATTCAGTAACTTTCGGCAAGTTACTCTTCTAGGTAGTAGATATATAATCGTTAAGCGTCTTAAGTATTTCTTGAAAAAACACCTAAATTCAGAACAAGTACACAGACAGAGATATGGTATAATAAATGCTGTAATGAGAAAAGAAATAGTAATTTTTAAATAGGAAAGGCTTATTAGATGAAATGACATATAAAATAAGAAAGAAAATATAAGTAAAAAATTTTCAAGTGAAAGAGATATATACAAAAAGGAGTATTGCAGAAGAAAATACAATACATATAAATGGACCCCAAATAATTGCAGAAGAAAATACAATACATATAAATGGACCCCAAATAAGGAAGAAAGATCACAAAACTGCAGAAATGCAAAATAAGTTAGTCTACTTGGAGTAAAAAACTTAGTCTACCTAGAGTAAAAATCATGAAGATGGTGAAGGTGGGTGGTAGTTGAGTGATCAGGTTTGAAGCTGGAGAAGGCAAGTGCTAGTTCATGTAGAGATCCTTTCCTAAGATATGTGTAATATTCCAAGGCCAATGGCACGTTAACAACTTGGAAAGTTGTGAGAGGTATAGAAGGTATATGATTATGTTTGCATGTTGAAAGATCATTTTTATTTCAGTGTGACTAGTTGATGGGAAGGCATCTGGGAGAGGCAGTGATGCCAAACAGGAGGGAATCGCAGTTTTCTATGTGTGCTATGAGCCAGGAGCTTCAATATTTTCTATGAACTATAAGCCAAATAAGCAATCTGCTATGTATATTAAGAAAAATAAAAGAAGTGATTTTAAGCCATGCTTTATATGAGAATCATATATAAAAATTATTTAAAATATTAATATTTTAGAACACAAATACTGCTTATTAAATTGAATGATCTGACCACTTTTTAATGACTAAATTCAGAGCTGTCTATATTCTTAGTAGATATGCTATACTAGTAATGAACACAATCTGAAATATGATTTTTTTGTTTATTCTGCTGACATTTAATGTAATAAAATTTTCATCTAACCAGTATTCAAAACTGTTAAGTCTATACGAAATATGTCTGCCCTCAGCTTTGCCAGAGGCAGAATGTACTTTTATTGATAGATTGAGCATTATGCTTTCTTCTGAAATTCCCTATTCATGGCTTATTCAAGTGTTCTTTCATTTTGTTCAAAGTACTCTCCATGTGTGCGTGTGTGTGTGTTTGTGTGTGTGTGTGTGGTTTAAACCATATGCTTGGAACGTGTATGGTTTTATTTTCTGTGAATTAAGATGATAGAGTATTCTTTTGAAAAATGAATTAAATGGAATATAAATAGACCCATCTTTTGTCAGCAGCAAAGAAAAGCATTAAAGGGAAGCAATTTGTGGGAGATCTGTATTAGGTAAGGAAAATGTGTGTTCTATTACTCCAGAAAAATATAAACTTGTGATTTATTAAAATAATAAATGTCTTACTTGAAAGCACAGTAAATAGACTAAATAGGGCTTTGTGGCCCCTTTTCCCTTCCCTTTTTCGTTTTTTTTCAGTTTGGAATATTTCGACATTATATAAATGTAAAAAGGTATACTTTAAATATTTGTTTAAAGTCAAAACATTATTTTTAAAATTTTTACATTTATATCAAAACAACGCTTCATGAATTTGATAATTGATAGGTTATGGATATGTATATTCATATTTGTTGTTTCCATTGTACCAAAGTACCAGCAGGTTAAGTAGCAACTATTTAAATGTTCAGTGATTTTTAAGTTTGCTGGTCTTCTGTTGCCATAAATTAGGACCTCTCTAAGAAAGTGAAGATATATGTTAATAATTATGTGATAATTCAGTAATAAATATGAATATATTATTGTGGTATAGATATAGGGAAACTACCTGTTCACATAATCAAAGACAAACACTTTACAAACTGTTGATTACCAATGTTATTTATATGTTATAAAAATATTTTACATTTTAATCTAGGCTACATTGGATGTAAGATTCCTTTACAGTGGCCGTAGCAATTAGGGGTTAAATTATTATTTAATTAGATACATCAATTTCCAAAGATTCTACAATGAAACTAGTTTTTTAATTTGGTAATTTAATAATTAGAATCTCTTATTTGTCATACTGTTATAATTTCTGTCAAAATAATAATCTCTATAAAATGTTTTAGTGATAATAATGCATTTGACCATATGAATAAAGCAATTTCCTGATAGTAACTGCATTCTTAAATTTTACCTTGCTCTTAAAACTGGAAGGACACAGTTTATTGTGAGGAAAAAAAAAAAAAACAGATAAATTGAAGTTACACAGCTTTGTCATAGTTAAATACATCACTCCTATTAAAAAAAAAAAACAAACAAACCCGGGCCAGCGCGATGGCTCACGCCTGTAATCTCAGCACTTTGGGAGGCTGAGGCGGGCGGATCTCCTGGGGTCGGGAGTTTGAGACCAGCCTGACCAACATGGTGAAACCTGGTCTCTACTAAAAAAAAAAAAAAAAAAAAAAAAAATACAAAGTTAACCAAGCGTGGTGGCACATGCCTGTAATCCCAGCTACTGGGGAGGCTAAGGCAGGAGAATTGCTTGAACCTGGGAGGCTGAGGTTGCGGTGAGCCGAGATCGTGCCATTGCACTCCAGCCTGGGTGACAAAAGCGAAACTCCGTCTCAAAAAAAAAAAAAAAAAAATCCTTTCAACTATCACCCCATTAACTATCAAATTCAATACCTTAGCTTGACTTTTAAGATTTGCAGTTACTTATTAGTTCTATTTAATTACTGAATTATTGTTTTCAAAATGTAGTACCTCTGTCATAGGTATTAAAAACCCAAAAATATAAATTTTTCTTAGAATTTACAATAAATCGATGAGAAAGTCTATTAATAAGCTAGATAAACGCCCAGTTCTAAACATAGCTATCCAGATATAAGTTCCTACTTTTCTTCTTTAGATATAATGAGATTATTAGGTCCTCAAATCCTAAATTGGAGCCCCTCTTTTTATTATATTATCTTTGAATATGCAATTATAATGTCATCTGCTAAAAATTGTATCACTTCTTCAAGATTAAATTCAAATTCTACGTTTTTATGAAGCATCACACAATCCACAACCCTCAACAAATAATTACTGTTATTTTTATTAATTTTATATAGATGTTTATAAGACTTCTATATATTTTTAAATTAATTTTCATGAATCTATAAATGGGTATTATTTTTAAGCTCACATTGTAATAAGGGTATGAAATTTCAAAGAGTAATGATGAGCTCAAGATTTCCTACCCAAGAAATAACAGTTTTAGAGTTAGTTCTAATTAATTTGACATTCATCTTTGCCTGTATATTTCCGAAAAAAAAAGGCCTAGCTTCCCCATCTTTGCTCTACCCCTTCTAGTTCTATGTTATTTTATATACAACGGTTTTTTATGTGGCTGTTTTCAAAAGTTTGAGATTTATAGATCATACATTTAATATAAACTTTATTCTAATCATTTACTCATTAAACCGGCATTTACTCTTGACTAAGAGTGCATGTTGTTAGGACAAACTCCAGCACCATAAGCAACTAGGAGCTCTTAATTGTACTTCTTGCTCTGCAGCTAATAGACTCCAGATAATACACACTACAGGAGACAGAATAATTCTCACAGAACCCCAAAACGACAACTAAATAATAAGGGAGAGCTGAATCAGAAGAAGTTTAGAGCAGAGACTAAACTGACCGTGACTAAGATCAGGGCTCAAAGCTGTTGCATGTGTGTGTGCCCAAGGTGGAACATGTGAAACTTAGCAAGGATTGTTGGGAAACAGATCTCCAGAGAAAGGGAGGCAAGATACATTGTCTTAGAAGGAGGAAGCATAATGGAGCATTACAATGTTAGAACTTCTGGAAGCCAGCATGTCAGGGAATTTTAGAAAACTCTGATAAAATAAACAAATTCCTTGAAAATTGCAATGGAGTAAAATTTATATAAGATAAAACAAAATTTTAATAGACCTGTGTTTACTAAAGTAGTTGAATTCATGATTAAAAACTTTGTCACAGAGACAATTTCAGATTCAGATTTCGCTGGTGAATTTTAACAAATATTTAAGAAAGAAATAATACCTATCTTACACATACTTATTCAGAAAACAAAGAAAGCAGTAGTATACCTTTTGGCTTGCTTTATGAGGATAGCAAAATCGTAATCCTCTGACTTCGCAGAGACAATAAGATGAAGAAAATTATGGTCTACTACTGCTATGGATGTAGGTACAAAAATACTTTTAAAATATTGGTAACTGAACCCAAAAACATATTTTAAAAATATTGCACCATGACTAAGGAAGTCTTATCTCAGTAACACAAGGTTGTTTTTAACAAAGAAAAATAATTTTTAAAAAATCAACACCAATCTCTGTTAAAAACTTTCAGTAAACTGAAAATATCAAGGAACTTCCTCAATCTAATAAATAACTTATAAAAAATCTACAGCTAACATCATAATTGGTGGTGAAATATTGAACATTTGCTCTTAAGGATACATACTCCCATTTCATTTTATCATTTTCTTCTGGTCCTAGATCAGGAAGAAAAAAGTAAAGATGTCTCTGTTTGCTAAAAGCATGACTGTTTACATATTAAATCTAAGAAATATACCAACAGCAACTAGAAATAACAACTCAGCATAATGGCGGAATACAAGCTTAATATATAATAATTTTCTTTTCAAATATTAACATCAAACAGAAAAAATTAAATTAAATTAAAAAACATTTTATTTACAATTGTGCCAAAACTCGTAATTCTGTTAGCCATAAATTAAGCACAAGGTGAGCAAAATCTGTATAATGAAAAAAAAAATCCCATAGATATGAGAAATCAAAGAAAATCTAAAACAATGATGAGTCATTCCATATAAATGGTTAAGAAGATCTAATATTGTTGAAAAATCAATTTTCACTAATGAACCATAGATTCAATAAAATCCCAGTCACAATTCCAGGAGCTTTCATTGTTTTTTTGGTAGTAATCAACAAGCTATTTCCAAAATTTCCATGGAAATGTAAAGGATCTAGATAACTCAATCTTGGTGAGAAAAAAACAAAAACAAAATTGAGGACTTATATCTCAAGGTGAATATAGATTTGCACCAATCAAGCCAGTGTGACATTGAAATGAGGGAAGACATATAGATCAATGGAACAAGCTAGAAAGTCAAAGTGATAAGCAAAACAACAACAAAATGATACAGTTTTAAAATATATTTTAATATTCATAACTAAGCCTATTCTCAAACATTTGGAAATTTTGTATGAAAATATTTTGTCATTTTTTGGTTATAACTGTTTCCTCTTCTTTATGAAGAATTATTTAACATTAACAATTTTAATTATATTTATAGTAAATATTTCTCAAAGTGCATCTTAATTTTCCTTCTGGTATTTTTTTATATAAAGTTGTTTTTATTTTATTATATTCATACTCCATGAAATAAACCAGGAGCTGTCTCAACAGCCTTTTGTTTGTTTTGACTCTTTCTGGTTTTAGATCTTTTTCTTCTTTTTGTTTTATTTTTAACTTAATCTATAAACATAATTATTAATTATGCTGCATGGCAGAGTGATCCTCATGAGACATCATTCAAATTTTATTTCCCCCTTGCTATTCCTCCTTTAATAGGACTTCTATTTTAAAATGGTACCAGCCTAAGTGCATGTAAGGTTGTCTTTTCTAATTTTTCAATTAATCACATAAGACAATACAGACATACCAAAAAAATACAAAAATATCACTAAGAAAGTTCAACTATTGTCTGAGCTCAAATCCAACAGAAAACAACTCTGAATTAATATAAAATGAAGTAATTTCTACCCAAATTGTTTAAATCAACTTTGAAAAAATAGAATACTCCATTTCAACTACAGTGTTATTGTGCCTTGTACCATTTTTGTGACAATGAATTTTTTAAAGTCTTTTCAGGTACAGATAAACTTTTATTTTATTCCTTTGCTATTTATCAACATTTATTTCAACTTTGAGATAAATTAATATGTAATAATAAACACACTTACAGAACAGATGGCTAGGTTCATGATGAATACATTGAATTACTATTTCTGAATTGTGTTTACCTGTATATAAGAAAAGGCATTAGCAAACTCTTTATCATTTGTATTGTCACTCTGATTTTTGATACCTTGCAATGCAATTTAAAGTATGCTATTACAGACATTTCCATTTTTAATTGGTCATATTGTAAATTTATGTTTTGTTCTTTTTATGAGATAATTTTCATTCTCTTATTCCCGTAGTTTATATATTTGATATCATATGTTTAAACAGAAAGTTTTTTTTAATTTCTAAGAGATGGTTCTACCTTTTCTATTTAGTATTTGTTTGAAATAGCAGGGTTAAATATTTCAAGTAACGAAACTAACTATGTCATGTAAGCATTTATTCACAGGTCAAGTGATACTAAGCAATTTGCTGTACAGACTTTGAAACAGATGAACCACATTAATAGAAGCCATAATGTGTATATAACACCACAGACATGTTGTATTTTTAATACTGTAATGCTTTCTCACTTGTTTTTTAAAAAGCACATGAAGGACTACTTGAAAGCTATTGTCTTCTGCATGCGACTTTATTAATTTTTCAGGTGAATATTTTCAGATTTGTTTGACTTAAGAATGGATTAAAATGAAAATGTGAGCACAGAACCTTACTGAGTATGCTGTGCTGAAACATGTTCCTTAAGCATATTTGTCAGCTGGGAGCACCTGACAAGTTCTAATAAGAAATGTTTTACTCCATTAAAAAATAACAGTGCACCTGTCACTAATACAGAAAAATATGTATTTGCATACATTAAAAATTCATCTGTAATTATTTCTGACATTTCTGAGTTTTCTTTTTCCATAATGGGATTTTATTTAAAACTTTTTGAACTTTATATTTATGTAATATTCTAAAACTAGCACATTGTTAATGAAAGACTTTCATTTTAACTTATTTGATTTGTTATTTATTCTAATTTTATCCTTTCTATGACTAGCATCAAGAATTGTTACAACCCACTTGGAATATGTTTGCACACCATATAGTTCACTGCATTCATTTGTACAAGTGCCAGCTGGCCAGCAACATTTTAATTCCCTTATTTTTCTTTTCTCTCTTCTTTTTTAGCTTTATTGAGCCCTCTGCTTCATTTTCTCATCATTTCTCCATTAACCTACATTTAACTCCAGTAACAGATCATATCCATCATTTTGTATGTGGTACCAATTTTCCGCATGTGAATAAGCCAAAATACATTCTTCAAAGCTAAAGCAAGTATTTGCTGCAATCATCACCAAATCACATACAAATTTATGGATAGAAACAAATATTTTTGCAAAGTAATGAATATGGAAACATCAAATATAATTTTATGTCATACATTGTATAGATTTGGAATTACTGTAATTATATCATCATTTCTGTTTACATTTAAGTCACCATTCATTTATGAGAATAAAGTAAATCTGGCTGTGACAGAAAGGTAGATCTTAAATTAGAAATTAAGATTTTCAGCACAATATTTTATTTAACACTGTTAAAAATAGACAGACATTTTGCTTTTGCTGTCAGTCGTGGGAAATTTAAATGAAAAAAAAATTATCCTCATTTAGATATGCCCTTTTCCCCCTTGTAATCATAAAACACATGCCCACACTTAGAAACAACTACACAATCTTTGTAATTCATAGTACTCATAATCCCTACTCATGATGCTAGCTCAGGTCTTCATGAAGTTTAGTCTATTTCAAGCTTTATTTCTTAGGATGTTTTGGGAATGGCTTGGATATGTTATCATTGGAGTAAAGGCCTTTTTAGTGTTCTATTTCCTGCAGGAGCAATTAAATCAGGTGAGAGATTGTGGATCCACTTTATATGAGGTTTCTGTATGGTATTCTTATTTGGCTTTATTATTCTTTTTTCTTCCTTGCTTATAGAATCTCCATTTCATTCAGATAAAAACTGCCTTGATGAAGGGGATGAATGACAATCAGGTTTAACTGGTGGATGTCAAACTGAGGTGCACATTACAGTCACCTGAGGAAGTTTTGTGACATCCTGATACCCTGGAGATTTTGAAGTAACTGGTTTGGAAAGGCAGCCTGTATTAGTGTTTTTAAAGAGTTACAATTATTTTAATTGTTTAATGCTTAAGCCAATATAACTTCTTTTAGGATAGAGGTTGCATAGCCAATACCCCAACTTAAAGGGAAACTATTTCTTTTCTGATGAAATGCAAAGTTGAGGCCAGGAGAAAGCCTTTTTTTTCTCTAGCTCCCTTCCCCGTTCTTCCCTTCAACCTTTGTTTCTTTGTTTTGAGAATGCTGAAGAATGATAATGTAATGTTTGAAACTGTAGCAGCCATTTCATAACCTTGAAAGGTGATATTGCCACCAGGCTGAAGTTGAAAGATTAGAAGTGAAGGAACTGAAATCTTGAAGATACTAAATTGCTAAATCAATCCTGAGAATTCCTTAATATATAAAGCATAAGTGTCCTCTGAAGGTAAGTTCTCTAATATTTGCTACTAAACATATTTTAACTGATTCCATTATTGATATGATAACTCAATATTTAGTACTTAATTCAGATAAATTAGAACAAATTAAGTTTTTTAAGTGCTGTATTTAAACTATAACAATCTTTTATTCCTTCCATTGATTCATTCCTCAATACACAAGTCTTTTGGTCTGGTACAGACTTACTGCTGTGCATTTTGACCAAGATCATTAGTTAGAATATGTGTATTGTGTGCTAATAATATAGTTGCAGTTATATTTGGCCCACTCTGTCTCATATATTTTAAAACTAATGCCTAGTTTTATACTTTGGACAAATGGGTTTCTAACCACATTCCAGAATTATGCTATGTATTCTTAATTTAGTTATTAAAATATATTCATTGAGAACCATCAATATAATAAGTCTGTTTAACAAAGTGTATAAATGAATGAGATTTGGAATACATCTTGTTTTCAAATCCAATCCATTACTCTTATTGATTATTTAAAGCACTCTGATAAAGAGATCTACATATCAACTTTCTAAGGATAGTAAAAAAAGTTAAGAGAGGTTGAATAATAGATACAAATGTAGGAAGGGTATAGAATGAGGCAGTACGGAATATTGTATTACTTAGAACTCTTTCTCCCAAGTCTCACACAAAGGGGAAGTGATTCAAAATACTGACAAATGTATGTGTACCTTTTCCTCAACGAATAATTTTTTTATTTCATAAATAATGTTCATTATATGCTAAATACTGTTTAAAACACTGAGCACAAAAATGAAGAACAAAGTTAACATGATTCAATCTCTCATGAAGCTTCAGTCAAATGAGAAAGACTAATGTTAGCCGTATAGATTAATCATAGATCAATCAATAATTGAAATCATATTGTTTCATATGAAGAAATGAAATTCTTCCAAATATATTTGATATTAAGTCATGTAACTAAGATTAGAATTCTCCTCTACTTTTAGCTAAGTATCTTTTCCAAAGCAAAATAAATGGGACCAGGATATAAACCCAACTTAGTAAATTTGCAGAATTGTATTCTTTTATATCCTAACCTTTTTTCTAAAGGTAAATAAAGCCAGGAGATATGGACAGTAAAATATAACATTACCATAGATTTACAAATGTGAATAGATTTTATATATTTTACCTTTACAATACTTTTCAGTCTAATAGATGGTACCACCTCCATAAAATGCTAGCATCAACAGAGAAATTAATGTGCTTAATTAACATTAATTTATCTGGCATGAAAAAACGGGGTATTTTTATACCAGGGTTATTTAAATTTTATATAAAACACAGAGATGGAAAATCTTCATGTATACATTATAGAGAATATATGATTATGCATATATATTTATATGCTTATATAGTATACATAAAATACTACCCAGTGCATAATTTTAACACAGAAAGTGGCTTTACAGCCTGGTATTCCAAGAATGCTTTGGTATAAAAATCATTATCTTGGCTGACAGTTTTACCAGATCTTCTAATAAGGATCTTCTTCACTTGCCCTAACAGGCCACTTTCGTTTCCCAAGAACTTTCTTTTAGAGACTCTTGAATGTGTATCTGCCTTGAAAGGATGGCCTATCCACATTGCCACTTTCTCCTTTTATGTTCAATATTTAGAATTCAGCTCAGGTCCAAACCAAAGAAGCAATTCTACCTCACAAGTGCTGCAGCTGGTTTTCTCCAGTGCTACTCCATTCATAGCAAAGGAAGGAGTGGCAGACCCATGCAAGATTAGTTTAAAACAAAAATTAATACTGCTTCCTCATCCCATAAACTCTTGAGCTAGACT
Source organism: Homo sapiens (assembly GCF_000001405.40). Classification (NCBI taxonomy): domain Eukaryota; kingdom Metazoa; phylum Chordata; class Mammalia; order Primates; family Hominidae; genus Homo; species Homo sapiens. The sequence goes on from NC_000004.12 coordinate 133,800,076, forward strand.
CTCCAGGGACAAAAGAGGAAAGACTCAAACAGACAAAACTTGGTTACCACTGATAATAATCCTCGGAGATGTGTTCCCGGTTATTTGGACTTTTGCCATGAATACATCACTAAAAGTTGGAAGTAGCATGGTTTCCTCCAGCCATCTGGTTTAACTGAAAAACATAAATATTGGTTTTCTTATCCATGTATTATTGCTTAGTTATGACTTGAATTATGTTCTTAAATACTGAAAAGTATCTGAAAATTGTGTATAAATTCAACATAAGCAACAAAGTAAATCATCCTTATTATACTTATTAATATATTATACCAATAAACTAATGGTGGATTTTATCAAAATTTTAGTGATTTGAATTATTTGGATTCATCTCATATTCTGGTTTTTCTTTTTTTATAGACTCATAGTAGACAATCAGAAAAATCAAAATTCAAACAGAAATTTGTTTAACTTAATGCAAATATATATTATTTTAAAATATATGTGGTTAGCCATTCTAAATTAAAAAATGGCTAGTACGAAATGCAATCTAAAAAATATAAAATTCCATTAATATAAGATAAAAATTTGGCTGATATGTATATATTTTTTCGTGTGTAAATTTGTTATTTCATAAATAATATCTATTTTATGCTAGATGCTGTTTAAAACACTGAAGACAAAAAATGATGAACAAAGTTCACGATTACATCTCTCATGAAGCTTTAGTCAAGTGACAAAGACTAATGTTAACCACATAGATGAATCATTAAATGAACAAAACTATTATACAATTCTCCACCAAATTGAAAATAACACAAGTATAATTTTAAAATATTTTAATTTAATATTTTGTGGGTATGTTGACACATATGATATCTTCTTACTACTCTGGGTAAGGTTACACGTGAGATCCAAATATATTCCACATTTTATCATTACAAAGAAAGCAGACAAATACAAACTTATGTGAAACAAAAAGTTTAATCTAGATTTTTAAATTAAGTATTAGAAAAACTGAAATTCTATGTGATATTAATGATGGCAGGTGCCGGTAATCCCAGCTACTCGGGGGGCTGAGGCAGGAGAATCACTTGAACCTGGGAGGTGGATGTTGCAGTGAGCTGAGATCGCGCCATTGTAATCCAGCCTGGGCAACAAGAGTGAAATTCTGTTTAAAAAAATAAAAAATTAATGTTACTATAATAAGTATTTGATATTTTAATATAGGCAATTTAAATTTTAAACATCACCTTCAAGATTCTAAATAATAAATTGCAATAATTTTAAATTAAAAAAATCAAAGTACAAAATAAAAATGCTTCACATCAAAACCTATCCTAGATGAATTATTATATTATATTTCTTTCATTTTCTGTGGCCACAAGATTTATTCAGTCTTTATTATGCACCAGACACATTGTTAGTCCATAGTGATAGAAATAAAACATGATCTCTATCCTGCAAGTGAGGAGGTACATTTATCTGAGAACTATAGAGACTAAAAGGCTTTCTCACATTTACATAGCTATTAAATGTCAGTAACTAATTTTAAATTAGTTAAAATTTAAGTAATTCGTTAAATTAGTTATCTAATAAATTAGTTAAAATTTAATTAAATTTAGTTAAGCCATATGTTTCTCTTTCAAAAGCATTTACTTGTTATTTCATCTTACACCCCCTCTGAGTAGTAAATAAAATATTTTAAAAAAGGAAGTGGAAGAATAAAACGTCCATGAAGTAGCAGAATACTATTACCATTAGAATACAAAAATAACTAGCAAGAAAAAAAAAAAAGCATAAAGCCATAAAATAATAAAAGAAAATGTTATTCATTTGCCATGGCTGGCATAACATAGTATCAACAACTGGATGACTTAAAAAGCAAAAGTTTATTTTCACACAATCCTGAAGACTTGAAGTCTATGATTAAGATGTAAGCAGGGATAGTTTCTTCTGAATTCTCCTTGTCTTGCAAATGGCCTTCTTTTCTCTCAGTCTTCACAAGGTCTCTCCTCTGTGTGTGTCTGTGTCCTTATGTTCTTTTCTTAAAAGGACACCAGTCATTTCAATTAGGGCACACCTCAATGATCTCATTTAACTTTAATTGCCTCTTTAAAAGTCCTATCTCTAAATAAAGTCACATTCTGAGGTACTGGGGTTTAGATTTCAGCTCATAACAGAAGATAAGCTCTTTTTTAAAATTAAAACTTGTGTAACATAACTAAAAATTTAAATCTAACTAAAGATTATCATATGTTTTTAAATCTTTATATACATATAATCATGGTCACAATAGAGTCTACATAATAACCATAACTTTTATGTTCCACCTTTATGTCCTAGGCATTTTGCCATTTTACACATGCTTAAAACAATTCTAGGATCAGTTTTGTTATTATTCAGAATTTTTTGATATGGAAATGTTACAGATTTTTGCAACTTTCACAAAGTAATGTAAATAATAAGGAAAGCAGCCAAAGTGTATATCAGCTGTTCTGTCTGACTCCAAGTCCCAGTGTTTATTTACTGCAGCATAAGGCCTTTTGGTAACTCATTATACCATATCTTGGTTGTTTTGAATTGGAGTATTGGGAAATAAAGTTTAACATATAACATATTTTATACGTCTGGTTTACTAAAATATTTTCAAGTACTCTCATAAAATAAAAAAAAATTATTTTGCTCTATCATGGAAATATTTGCTTTCACCATTAATTGTACAACATGATAGCAAAGATGAATTCATTAAGTCATATCCTACATAAACCACTGCGATATTTTGCTCTCCCGGAATCTGTGTGACTAATACAAATACATAGCCTAAGTAAAGATAAAACTTTTCACACACATACACATTTTATATAATTCTCTTCCATATGGACAAAAAAGCAAGTATTTACAAAATTGGGAAATTTTTTTGATATGAATCATTTGAATGCTGGCTCCATTTTTGTCACATAACTTATTTAAACTGATAGTGTGAATCATACCACAAAAAATGTAATTTGACTCTTTGAACCATAGACTTGTGTTTTTTCTTTTAGTTCTATAGGAAATAAAAAGATGAACTTGAAAATTAATTTTTTAAATATATTATTTTGCAATATAAGATAGAGAAAGTGTAACAGAAAGGATATTTCCCTTTTGTCTGACATTATTATATGTTAAGATCCAGGTAAACACTTTAGTATTGACTTTCTGTTTGGTGAGGGCTAGTCTCATTTTTATCTTGTCTTAATGTTTTTAAACAAGTATAAAACACAGGTAATTACCTTTTAATGTGGAAGACATTTTCAATTTTTCATACTCAAGGCCACTTTGCAAAAGTGAATAGTGCTACATGGTATAGAATATTTAAATAAATCATAATTCTTTGCCTTTAGAAATATGAAGAGCAACTTTAGTAACCAAATTAGATGTCACATTGTGCTAAATATGCAAGAAAAAAAATCTATGTGCAGATGGTGAAAATCAAATTTATTTTCAACTTCACAAGCCATGTCTATATGATGAAAAATATCGGTTCAACAAATTATCCATCTGCCGTATTCAACCATCTTAAAACCAAATAAATCAAATGTAAATATCATGTGGCTAAATGTACAGAAATGTTTTGACTTTTAAAAAGTTTCTAAATCATAGGTATAACTCCATATTGCAATTCCTTGGTGTGACCACTGTTATAGTCACTATGAAGATCAATATGAAATTAAGGTATTTTCAAATTAATCTTTTAAAAATAAAGTCATTAAATAAAGATGAAGGAAAATACTTAGCCCAGTGAAATAAATAAATATTCCACTTATTTTCTTTCTGAATTAATTTTCTAAAACAAAAATCAAACGAAAAACTTTATGTCCACTTTTACCTTATAAAATAGATGTGACTTTTTTTCTATCTATGAAGTCACGAGAATAGTTTTGTGGTACACATTTTTAAGCTCACACATATGCGAAACTGTTACCCATTAAAAAATCGAGAAAGATAATATAAAATATTTGCATATTAAAATAATTTGGGGTAAAATAATATATTTACTAAGTGTTTTAGCATTTGCATATTTCTGTACCTATCATGGGAATGAGGCTCAACTCTGGAGGTAAGTTGTTGGGTTATCTTTGGCAAATTAACAAAAACAGTGTTTCTGTCCTTTCCCTTCCCAAGTAAAATTATTAGACATATTGATCTCAAGGCCTCTTTTTGTTTGAAAAGTTTTACATCCCATAAAATTATATATGATACATTATACCCATGTTAAATTGAAATAGCTGCAAATTTATAACAAATATAATAATGTCATACAACTTGACATTTAAGTATATTTCAAATTTTGAAAAGCATGCTTATTTAACTCTTTCTTTACATAATGATTATTTTATTTGAGTAATAAATTCATTGTATCTACGTTCAATTTTTGGTTTGCCCAAAGTATAAGTGTATTTTTGTTATACTTATTAAAGTATAATTGAGGAAGCTCCACATTCAATTAAAGCAAAGGAAAAAGTTATAGTGCTAGCAATAATTTATGTCAGATGACATAATAATGTTATCCTTAGCTAAAGCGTCAGCTCTAAATAACTGTGATAAAATTTTCAAATTCAGTTGCAGTTTGATTTTCTCCTTCTTCCTCATAACATAAATAAAAATGCCAAATATCTAAACATTTTAGAATATTCTCTGTAACAATAAAATTATAAAAATATCAATATATAATATAATAACCAATTTAAAACAGCAAAATGTGTTCATTTTAAGTATATGTTAACTAGGAACATAGATAATGATATACAATCAATTAAATAGTATTAATGTAATAGAACTTAATCATATTAACTTTCCAAAAAATAAATGTGTAAGCATTTTCAAATAATAAAACAATAAGAATCTTGTTTTCTAATAGCAAGTAGAAAAATATTTGCAAATAGAGAATCTCTCAGATACACACATGACTTAATGCCCATCAGTCACAGCTATTGCCAGTGGACATTTGAAGTTGTTATCATATTGTGATAACCACACAATGAAAGTTATGTTAATTTTGTAAACTCAAAACAAAAATTACACTTATGTTAATGACATAAAATCATAAAAACAGTTTAAGGCCAGGCACAGTGGCTCACACCTATAATCCCAGCATTTTGGAAAGCAGAGGCAGGAGGATTGCTTGAGGCCAAGAGTTCATGACCAGCCTGGGGAACAGAAGAATTAAATAAAAATTATGCTGAATGTAAGAACCATACAAAGCATCCTGTATGAATCATTTTTAAAATAAATTCTGGAAGAGGAAAAAATAATCTATACTGAATCAAATCAGATCAGTTGTTTCCTGGATTATACATTATGTAATTATGGTAGTTGAATTGTAAAAAGAAACATAAGGAAATTTTCTGGTAGGTGGAAGTTTTCTAGGTCTTGATTGGGGTGGTAGTTACGTAAGTGTACACTCTTGTCAAAAATTATCCACTATACACTCATTTTTAAGGAAAGGGCTTGAATATTTGAAAAATCCTATATCATAGCAATATATTTTTATATTTCCTGGAGACACAACATGTTAATTCATGTGACTATGATTATAACTTTATTATTTAATCAAATAAGAAAAAAATTCAAAGTAGAAGTCTTTTTTTTTTTTTTTTTTGAGACTGAGTCTTGCTCTGTCTGTCGCCCAGGCTGGAGTGTAGTGGCGTGATCTCGGCTCACTGCAAGCTCCGCCTGCCGGGTTCACGCCATTCTCCTGCCTCAGCCTCCCGGAGTAGCTGGGACTACAGATGCCCGCCACCACGCCCGGCTAATTTTTTTGTATTTTTAGTAGAGACAGGGTTTCACCATGTTAGCAAGGATGGTCTCAATCTCCCGACCTCGTGATACACCCGCCTTGGCCTCTCAAATTGCTGAGATTACAGGCGTGAGCCATCGCGCCCGGCCCAAAGTAGGAGTCTTCAGGGAGTATTGTAGTATAGCAAATGCCAACTCAGTGTTAATGAGATCTTCATCTTATTGTATCATAACACTTAGTATTATTGAAAGATTTTCCTCAGAGAAACATTTTACCAATTAGAGAAAAGGATGCATGTTTTCCAAATCATATTTAACTCAAAATGTTTAAATACTAAAATATTAATGTATCTACAAATGTGTGCATAAATCTTTTAAACCCTCATAGAACATTAAATCTCAGGGCTTAGATCTATATTGGAGTTAGCCATTTAAATATTTTTGGATTTAAAACAATGATAAAGTATTCTTTTTAAAACAATCATAAAGTATTCTGCCTTCCTACCAGGTAGACAATACTTCATTTTGCATCTCTGACTTAATATTTATTTTGTTCAATGTATTCTTGTGTGTATATATATAGCCTAATCTCTTTCCTCTAAAATTTTACACATTAAGTTGTCTACCATGGACAGTCAACTTTTAACTCTAGTCCAAAGATTTTGCAAAGAATATTTTCATAACTGTGCACCTCATTCTGTTTATCTAACTAGGCGTTCATCCTGTGTAATTTGAAAATATGTCACACGTGGTGATGAGAATCTATTTGAGGAACATGGGCAGTTTGAAATAATATATGCAATGTATGACTAGTTTATATAATGAAAGGAAGTATTTAAAAAGATAGAATGACATAGACTAATCTAATTGAGAAATATGAAAGTCTAACAGAAATGATTGCTTGTGAAATTTTATGAAGAAATCCACAGATAAATTCTCCACCTTGATCTATGTAATCCGAAATTTAGATGTTAAAAATATGTTGATTCTGAAAATTTATATTTATTCAAAGTTCCAGGTCATTTTTGGCTGGAAAAAAATTAAAAAGTCAAATGAATTTTTGAGGCAATCTAAATGAAAAGGCAGCAGTTTTTATGGTTGGAATAGACAGAAAAGTAGGGTGAGAGATCAAAAGATAATTCTAAGATTTCTTGCCTGTTAGAACAGGATGCTGGCAATACATTCTGCAGATATCAAAGTTTGGCAATGGAAAAATACAAAGATGCCTCACTATCTTATATTTAAAGTGATGAAGTTACATCAGGATTTTAAATCTATATTTGACTTTCCATATTATGTGGTATTTCACATGATGATCACTCAAATCAAAGACTATTTTCAAACATATTAATACATTCTATTATTAACTGTGATGCCAAAATACTGAAATATATGCTATTTAACAAGCAGATAGATCTTATGTTTTCAAATATTTATATGATTTTATTTAAAAATTTGTCTGGAGGCATTCAGCTAGAAAAACACTCATAATTAGCTAATGCTGAGAAAAAATTTTCTGTTAAATTTAAAAGTTTTACTTTGTTCTACTTCTGAGATATTTCAAATATATAGAAATATTTAATAATGACACATAAGTGACAATACTTACTGAACAATTACTATGTGATGGACTCTGATTAAAGAAGTATACATGGATTATTATATTTAATACATAAGACTTTTTTAAATTAATAATATCAATCTTCGTCGTTCATGTTTGAAAGAACCCTTTTGAAGACATCCTTTGTTGTAAAATTTGTCATTTTGGTGGTCAGGGCATGATGAATTTAAATAATAACTTGAACAGATCTGTGATTTAGAAAGATAAATTTCAAAACATTTTGGAAGATATAATACATTTAAAAAATGTCATGACTATCTTCTCTCTGGTTCTTGTCACGACTGCCAGTCCTCATCCCTTTCAGACTGTACATTGTCTCATTCAAAATTAACAAATTGTAATTTTATTGAACATTTACTATGCAAAACACTTTGAAAAGATGAAGAAGGATGGAAAGATGCCCCAAATAGCTGACTTCATGCAGTTTAACCTGAAGTAAAGGAGAAAACCCACTAATATATGAAAATGCAATTAATAACACAAATAATGATTGATGTTTAGTGGCTTAATTTGTCATGTAAGCAGGCACAGGCAGAGAAGGTTACAGAGTAACTGACATCAAGATTGTCTTCAATGATAACAAGCCTTTGGAAATAAAAAGGAGATTGGAAATCTTGAGGAAAAGTATGTGAATATGGATAATAGATAGAAATAGAAAGATATATCATCAATATTGCCAAAGGCTTGCATGGAAAAGGCATCCTTAACTTGTGCATTTTGTGATTCAGTGAGTCAAATAAAAAAATAAACAGAATGAAGCTATCAGAGAATAAAAGGAAAATATTTTACGACCAAAATAGATCACTTTGTTAATGAGGGCCTGTGGTATACGTTGCTTAGAAACCTTGTATGTTAAATATGGCCAGAGTGTATGCAATTGAGTCAAGAAATAACGTGAGCAGTGGCTTTTGTGGTTAAACAACTTGCCCAGAGTCACATGGATAGTGACAGGTGCTGACATAAATTCAGATATTTGGCCTATTATTTCTCCCACCTTTCTATAAAATGTTCCTTTGTTAATTTAACATTATGAAACCTTAGACTTGTAACACTGGTATTGAATGTATGATATTATATTTATTTACAGATATCTAAAAATGTGACTAAATAGACCTTTCTATATTTTACATTTCTTGAATTTGTTTTTAAGATGGTAATATATTCCCTATCTGGAGATTTGATAGTAACTTCCAGATTTTGTTGCTTTTAATAATATATAATCACTAGTTCTATTTGAAAAGTAATTTGAGGTATGAGGGAAGGGAACTCTAAATTTAGGATTTCTTCATATAGAGAGATGGTTTAACAGTCATTATTTTAAGACTTTTATTTTATCTCCACATTTTGATTACTAACAAAGCTTTTGGTAAATATTAACAAATTTCTATCGTAAACATTGTTAACAGTTACACTGTTGATATTGTCAGTTGGATGTACAATATTAGAGCCACATGGATTCAGGTATTATTAAGATTTAATTACCAATTTGACAGACAAAACTAGCAGCTATCATTGAATTAATCTGTGTTTGTTTGAATACTGGTAATATTAAGTAGGTTACTTTTTATTTCTATCTGAATTTTTTATTTGATATGCGTGTGATGAGAGAGAGGGAACTGTTTATAACAGTTGCTCATTCTTCTATAGAAGTTGTTTTTGACTTATTAATAAAAGTCTATATATGTTCAGGTTTTATTTAAAATTTCCTTCCATAAAAAGCTGCAAAGTTCTGTAAACATGAGCCAAAAAAAAGAGAGAAAAATAAAAGCACTGTAGTCTTCTGATTTGTTACATGCCTTTAATTTTATCTGTTTTTTAGTTACATGCATTTGTGTCGACAGATACAGGTTTTATTTTTCTTGATAAAACGCTGTTTGTGTCTTTTGAGCTAAGAAACACTCACTCTAGTCAAAGATTATATTACAACATGACTATCATCTTCTCCATAATAATTCTCTTTGCTTTATTTTTAAATTAAAGAATATATCTTTGAGTTTTCCCTATACTTCACTGATTAAATTACAGAATAGCAACTGTTTTGACTCTTTCTAAATCTTGTGAAAATTTTGTACAATCTTTTATCTCATCTTCCATCCCAGTCTACTCTCTTCTTATATAGCCCATCCTTGAAGAAAGCAAGTGCTGAAGTTATGCCTCTATCTGTGTGAAACTGTTTTTTATACAGCATTATAACAGATAATACTAGTCCTATTCTCACTAATTCCTTTTATATTTTTGTGCATTCCTCTAGCTTCTGAGTGTTTGCTTCACATGATCCTCATATAGGATTATTTTCAGGTGACTGTCTCAGATTATTCGACATGATTTTCAGAGGGAAGTCTCCAGGAATTTACATCACTTGGGTGAAGGAAGAGAGCAAAGAAACCACCAACTGGTTGAGATGAATGAAAACCTACTTCCTTTTCCTGGAGTTTAAATACACTGTGAGCCATAATTTTCAAACCAGAGCTCCACTGCAAGAAAAGGTGAAGGATGAGGTATTGCCTGCAATTCACCCTTTGCTTAGCTTCTTCCCTTTTCTTCTATTAGGCTGGTACAAAAGTAACTGTGGTTTTTGCCATTACTTTTAATATATTCCTAAATACCCATTTAGTCTCCTGGCAAACTTCCTGGTAAATCTCAGGCTCTCCTTCTGGGAAGCCAGTCTCAAGACAAGGATTTTCTTCTGAATTTTCAGAGATATGCACATTCATATTATACTGTATATTTTTACATAAGTAATGTTTACTCTTTATTATTTAATTTATTTTTGGTTTAAGTACTATATATGCAAGATTCAGAATCCTAGCAGCATAAAAACATGCACGGTAATAAGTAAGTCTCTCTCCTGTTACAGTGATGACCAATTTTCTAAGTTTCTGTGGGTGTCTCCAGATATAGTCTATGAATGTAAAAAATATATATTATATTTACCACACAAATACAGCATACTTTATATGGCATTAATGTTTGCTTTTTTTCACTTAAGACTAGTTTGAAGATTTTTTTATAACATTACATATAGAGCTCTGTTTTCTGTCACTTTAAAAATAAACTTTTTTTAAAACAGTTTAAATTTACAGAAAAATTATAAAAATAGAACAGGTTTTAAATACTGCATACCCAATTTCTCCTATTAACATCTTACATAACTATGGTCATATTTTTACAATTAATGAACTAATATTGATTATTATTCACTTAAATTCATTCTTTATTCATATTTTCATCTTTACCTAATTATATTTTTCTGCTTCAGGATACCACAACACATTTGGCATTCATGTCTCCTAAGGCTCCTCTTGACTTAACAATGTCTAAGACATTCCTTGTTTTTGATGATCTTGACAGTTTTGAAGAGTACAGGTCACTTTTTGCAAAATGGCCTTCAGTGGTATTTCTATGATGTTCTCCTCTTCATGATTAAACTGGGGTTATAGTTTCTTGATAGGAAGACCACAAAAGGTGCCATTTTCATCATGTCCTATCAAACATATGTCCCATGAATATGACTTATCACTGTTGATGTTGACCTTGATCACATGGCTGAGACAGTATTTTTCAGACTTTTCCAAGGTAAAGTTACTCTTTTTTCATCCTTCTCATACTGCACTCTTTAGAAGAAAGTCATTGAGCACAGACTATATTTAAAGGGTAGAAAGTTAGCATATGTTGTCACAATTAGCTTTATAATAAGTTTTAAAAACAAGGTGGTGTGAGTCCTCCAACTTTGCTCTTATTCAATATTGTGTTCATTCTTCTAGATCTTTGCCTTTTTGTGTTAATTTTAAATCAGCTTGTTCATAGCTACAAAATACCATTATGTGATCTTGATAAGGACTGTGTTGAATCTATAAATCAAATGGAAAATAACTGATATCTGAACAATATTGAGCTTTCCAGTGTATCAACACAGAGTATCTCCGTATTAATTTAGATCTTCTTCTACTTCTTTAATCAGAGTTTGGTACTTTTCCTCATATATGTCTTGTATACATTTTATTAAATTTATATCTAAGATTTTCTTTTTCTTATAGTATGATAAATGGTATTTTTATTTAAATCTTAAATTTCAACTGTTTAATGCTGGCATACAGAAAAGTAATTAATGCTGTATATTAACCTTGTATTCTGCAATCTTGTCATACTTGCTTATAAGTTCCAGGATTTTTTTTCGGATCCATTGTGGTGGAGGCAGGGGTGTCTCCAGATAAAACCATGTCATCTAGAGACAAAGATATTCTTCTTTCTTCCTTTTAAATATCTATAAATTTTATTTATTTATTTTATTGCAACAGCTAGATATTTACAGTGGGATTTTGAATAGTCCTTGCCTTTTTCTTGATATTAAGAAAAAAGCAGGGATGGAGCCAAGATGCCTGAATAGAGGCAGCTCTGCTCAGCAGCACCCACGGAGGACAAAAACTGTGAGTGCACTCTGCATCTTCAACTGAGGTACCAAATTTCTCTTATTGGGACTGACTAGGTGGCGGGCATGACCCTCGGAAAGCAAACAAAAGCAGGGTGGAGCAACACCCCACCCAGGAGCTACACATGGCAAAGGGAGCTCCTTCCCCCAGCCAAGGGAGACAATGAGGGATTGTACATCCCTTCCCTGTAAACCAGGCTTTTCCCAGGGATCCTTGTAACCTGCTCATCAGGAGGTCCCCTCCTGAGCCCAGGCTACCAGAGACTTGGGGCCCAAGCAGAAAGCTGTGGAGAATCACAGGGGCTGCTCGAGTGGGCAGCTGCTTTGAGCAGACACTGCGACATAGGAGTGTTAGCATACTCTGCTCTTTGAAATCCCTTCAGGCAGGAAATCCATCCACTCTTGTAAGGAGGAGGCTGAAGCCAGGGAGCCAAGTGGCCTGTTCCCACAGACCTCCACAAGCCCAAACCCCCTGGCTTAGAGCCATACCCCACTTCCCCCAGCCAGTGCAGCCAGGGAGAAGCTGCCTAACAAGACAGAGTTCCCCAGGGAAAGGGGTGGCTGCCATCACTGTTGGCCCCTTTCCCTTGCCACTGACACCAGTGAGAGAGTGGGACTGGATCAACTCCTCCTCAGTGGGTGGAGTCTCCCTGTGGGAATCTCAGCATCCCCAGGCAAGAATTTGTGGACAGAACACTGATAACCCTGAGAGGAGCTCCCTGGAGGAGTGGCAGCTGTGGTATCCTGCATCAAGGATCTTAAGTCTTTTCTGCCTTCTGGCTCTAGAGAATCAGGGTAGCCCAGATGAGGGTGATTCTCCCAAGTGAAGCACACCCACCCTGTAAAGGGGCAGGCACATTGCTTATTTAAACAGGTCCCTAACCCCACTTTTCCTGACTGAGTGGGACCTCTCAACAGGAGTCTCAAGACACCTCATACAGAGTGTTTCAGTCAGCATCAGGCCAGTGCCCCTATGGGACAGAGCCCCCCGAGAAAAAAGCAGCCTGACATCTTTGCTCTCTGCAGCCTCCCCTGATGTTAACTCCAGGGAGGGGAGGGATCAAAGCGAATAGGGGCCGGAGTGGACTGCAAGCAAACTGCAGCAGCCCCACAGAAGAGTGGTCTGACTGCTAAAAGAAAAACAAACAGAACACAGCCACATCAACAAAAAAGGCATCAAATAAAACCCCATCAAAATTCAGCAGCCTCAAAAATCAAAGATGGATGAACCCACGAAGATGAGAAAGAATCAATGCAAAAATGCTGACAACTCAAAAAGCCAGAGTGCCTCTTCTCCTTCAGGAGGTTGCCACAGGCCTCCAGCAAGGGCACAGAAATGGGCTGAGGCTGAGATGGATGAAATTGACAGAAGTAAGCTTCAGAAGATGGGTAATAATGAACTTCACTGAGCTGAAGGATTATGTTCTAACTCACTACAAAGAAGCTAAGAACCATGATAAAAATGTTACAGGAGCTGTTAACCAGAGTAACCAGTTTAGAGAGGAACATAAATGATCTAATAGAGCTGAAAAACACAACACGAGAACTTCTCGTAATGCAAACACGAGTATGAATAGCTGAATAGACCAAATAGAAAAAAGGATATCAGAGCATGAAGACAATCTTGCTGCAATAAGGCAGGCAGACAAGATTAGAGAAAAATGAACGAAAATGAATGAACAAAACCTTGGAGAACTATGGGGCTATGTTAAAAGACCAAACCTACGAATGATAGGCGTACCTGAAAGAGACAGGGAGAACGGAACCAAGTTGGAAAACCCACTTAAAGATATCATCCAGGTAACTTCCCCAACCAGCAAGACAGGCCAATATTCCAATTCAGGAAATCCAGAGAACCCCAGCAAAATACTCCATGAGAAGATCAACCCATAACTATCAGATTTTCCAAGGTTGAAATGGGGAAAAATTATTAAGCACAGCCAGAAAAAAGGGCCAGGTCACCTGTAAAGAGAAGCCCATCAGACTAACAGCAGGCTTCTCCGCAGAACCTCTACAAGCCAGAAGAGATTGGGGGCCAATATATAACATCCTTAAAGAAAAGAATTTCCAAACTAGACTTCCATATCCAGCCAAACTAAGTTTCCAAAGTGAAGGATAAATAATATCTTTTTCAGACAAGCAAGTGCTGAGGGAGTGTGTCACCTTGCCTGCCTTGCAAGAGCTCCTGTAAAAGGCACTAAATATGGAAAGGAAAAACCAATACCAGCCACTACAAAAAACACACTGAAATACCGAGATCAGTGATATTATGAAGCAAATGCATAAACAAGTCAGCAAAATAACCAGGCATCATGATGTCAGGATCAAAGTCACGCATAACAATAATAACCTTATATGTAAATGGGCTTTGCCCCAGTGAAAAGACACAGAGTGGCAAGCTGGATAAAGAGTAAAAATCCATTGGTTTGCTGTATTCAAGAGACCCATTTCACATGCAAGGACACACATAGACTCGAAATAAAAGGATGGAGAAACATTTATTAAGCAAATGGAAAACAGAAAAAAGGAGGGGTTGCACTCCTAGTTTCTTACAAAATAGACTTTAAACCAAAAAAGTTCACAAAAGACAAAGAAGGGCATTACATAATGGTAAAGGGGTCAATTGAACAAGAAGAACTAACTATCCTAAATATACACCCAAGACAGAAGCAGCCAGATTCATAAAACAAGTTCTTTGAGACCTACAAAGAGACTTAGACTCCCATACAATAATACTAGGAGACTTTAAACCCCAGTGACAATATTAGACATACCATAGAGACAGAAAATTAACAAAGATATTCATGACTTGTACTCAGATCTGGACCAAGTTGACCCGATAGCTGTCTACAGATCTTTAAACATAAAACCCAAAACTGTAAAAACACTAGAATACATTCTAGATCCATTATAGAATTATTCTAATATATTCTAGAATTATTCTAGAATAAATTCTACAGACCTTTGCACCTGAAAACAACAAAATACACATTCTTCTTGGTGCCACATGGCACTTACTCTAAAATTGATCACATAATTGGAAGTAAATCACTCCTCAGCAAATACAAAAGAAATGAAACCATAACAAACAGTCTCTCAGACCACAGCACAATCAAATTAAAACTCAAGAGTAAGAAACTTACTCAGAATCACAAAACTACATGGAAATGGAACAATCTGCTCCTGAATGATTCCTGAGTAAACAATGAAATTCATTATTGGTTGTTCAATTAAATTATTATTGGCTGTTCAATGAAATCAGGAAGTTTTTTGAAACCCAATGAGTACAAAGAGACAACATACCAGAATCTCTGGGATGCAGCTAAAGCAGTGTTAGGAGAGAAATTTATAGCACTAAATGCCCACATCAAAAATCTAGAAAGATCTCAAATCAACAACCTATAGCATCACAACTAAAAGAGCTAGAGAAGCAAGAGCAAACAAACACCAAAGCTAGCAGAAGACAAGAAATAACCAAGATTAGAGCAGAACTGAAGGAGACAGAGACATGAACAACCCTTCAAAAAAAATCAATGAATCTAGGTGCTGTTTTTTTGAAATAGTTGATAAAATAGATAGACCACTAGCTAGACTAATATAGAACAAAGAGGAAAGAATCAAATAGACACAATAAAAAGTGATAGAGGGAATATTACCACTGACCCCACAGAAATACAAACTACAATTGGGGAAAACTTTAAACAGCTGTATGCAAATAAACTAGATAATCTAGAAAACATGAATACATTCCTGGACATATACACCCTCCCAAGACTGAAAGAGGAAGAAGTTGAATCCCCAAATAGATCAATAACAAGTTCTGAAATTGAAGCAGTAATAAATAGACTACCAAAGAAAAAAAGCCCAGGACCAGACAGATTTACAGCTGAATTATATCAGAAATACAAAGGGGAGCTAATACCATTTTTTTCTGAAACTATTCCAAACAACTGAAAAGGAGGGACTTCTCCCTAACTCATTCTTTGAGGCCAGCATCATCCTGATACCAAAACCTGGCAGAGATACAACAAAAAAAGAAAGCTTCAGGCCAATATTCCTGATGAACACTGATGCAAAAAGTCTCAATAAAATACTGGCAAATGGAATCCAGCAGCACATCAACAAGCTTATCCACCACAATCAAGTTGGCTTTATCCCTGGGATGCAAGGATGGTCAACATATGCAAATTAATAAATGTAATTCATCACATAAACAGATTGAAAGACAAAAGCCACATGATTATCTCAATAGATGCAGAAAAGGCCTTTGATAAAATTCAGCATTTCTTCATGTTAAAAGCCCTCAATAAACTAGATATTGAAGGAACATAACTCAAAATAATAAGAGCCATTTATGACAAACTCACAGCCAACATTATACTGAATGGGCAAAAGCTGGAAGCATTCCCCTTGAAAATCAGCACAAGATAAGGATGCCCTCTCTCACCACTCCTATTCAACTTTGTATTGGAAGTTCTGGCCAGGGCAATCAGGCAAGAGAAAGAAATAAAGAGTATTCAAATAGGAAGAGAGGAAGTCAAGTTGTCTCTGTCTGCAGATGACATAATTTTATATTTAGAAAACTCCATCATCTCAGCTCAAAAACTTCTTGAATTGACAAGCAAATTCAGCAAAGTCTCAGGATACAAAATCAATGTGCAAAAATCAAAAGCATTCCTTTACACCATCAATAGGCAAGGAGAGAACCAAATCATGAATGATCTCCCATTCATAATTGCTATAGAAAGAATAAAATGTCTAGGAATACAGTTAACAAGGGAAGTGAAGTACTTCTTCAAGGAGAACTACAAACCTTTGCTCAAGGAAACCAGAAAGTACACAAACAAATTGAAAAATATTCCATGCTCATGAATAGGAAGAATCAATGTTGTGAAAATGGTCTTACTGCCCAAAGTAAATTACAGATTCAATGCTATTCCCATTAAACTACCACTGACATTATTCACAGAATTAGAAAAAAAAACTATTTTAAAATTCATATCAAACCAAAAAAGAGCCCATATAACCAAGACAATAGTAAGCAGAAAGAACAAAGCTGGAGGCATCATCATACCAGATTTCAAACTATCCTATAAGGTTTGAAACCCAATGAGTACAAAGAGACAACATACCAGAATCTCTGGGATGCAGCTAAAGCAGTGTTAGGAGAGAAATTGATAGCACTAAATGCCCACATCAAAAATCTAGAAAGATCTCAAATCAACAACCTATAGCATGGTAGTGGTACAAAAACAGGCACATAGACCAATAAAACAGAATACAGAACTCAGAAATAAGATCGCACATCCACGACCATCTGATCTTTAACAAACCTGACAAAAACAAGCAATGGGGAAAGGATTCCCTACTCAACAAATTCTGCTAGGATAACCAGCCATTTATTTGCAGAAAATTGAAACTGGACACTTTCCTTACACCTTATATAAAAATTAACATGAGTCTTTAACACAAGTCTTTAATCTATCTTAGATTAACACAAGTCTTTAATCTAAGAGAGGTTAAAGACTTAAATGTAAAACCCAAAACTATAAAAACACTAGAATAAATTCTAGGCAATACCACTAGGGCACAGGCAAAGATTTCCTGACACAATCACCAAAAGCAATTGCAATAAAAGCAAAAATTGACAAATGGGATCTACTCAAACTAAAGAGCTTCTGCACAGGGAAATGATCATCAGAGTGAACAGGCAATCTACAGAGTGGGAGAAAATCTTCTCAATTTATCTATCCAACAAAGGTCTAATATCCAGAATCCAGAATCCACAAGGAACTCAAACAAATTTACAAGAAAATAACAAACAACCCCAATAAAAAGTGGGCAACAGACATGAACAGACACTTCTCAAAAGAAAACATTGATGAGGCCAACAAACATATTTAAAAAAACTCAACATAACTCATCATTAGAGAAATGGAAGTCATAACCACAATGAGATGCCATCTCATGCCAATCAGAATGGCCATTATTAAAAGATGAAGAAACAACAGTATCTGGCAAAGGTGCAGAGAAATAGGAATGCTTTTACACTGTTGGTGGGAATGTAAATTCATTCAACCATTGCAGAAGACGGTGTGGTGATTCTTCAAAGAGCTAGAACCAGAAATACCATTTGACCAGGAATCCCATTACTGGTTATATATTCAAAGGAATATAAATCATGCAACTATAAAGACACATGCACAAGTATGTTTTTTGCAGCACTGTTCACAATAGCAAAGTCTTGGAACCAACCCAAATGCTAATCAATGATAAACTAAAGAAAATATGACACACATACACCATGGAATATTATGCAGTCATAAAAAGGAATAAGATCATATTCTTTTCAGGGACATGGATCAAAGTGGAAGCCATTATCCTCAGCAAACTAATGAAAGAACAGAAAACCAAACACCACATGCTCTCACTTATAACTGGGAGCTGAACGATGGGATCATATAGACACAAAAATGGAAACAACACGCACTAGAGCCTATCAGGGAGTAGGGTGTGGAGAGAGAGCGTATTAGAAAGTATGGCTAATGCATGCTGGGCTTAATATTTAGGTGATGGGTTGATAGGTGCAGTAAACCACTATGGCACATGTTTACCTATATAACAAATCTGAATATCTGGTACATGTGCCCCAGGACTAAAAATTTAAAAAATTTAAAAAAAAAAAGAAGAAAGCAACCAGTTTTATAACACTGTGTATGATTATAACTATAGGTTTTAAGTAGATGTTCTTTATCAAGGTGAGGAACTTCACTTTGAAATTTAGCTTGCCAAAATTTTTTATTATAAATGGATGTGTGTTTTTGTCAAATGTTTTCTTCAGTATCAATCAGTATGAGTATACCATTTTTAAAAACATTTTGCCTATGATATGGTGGTGTTGAACCAGCATTTCATGCTTGGAATAAATCTCACTTGGTTGGTTATGTTGTATAATTTTTTGTTTTATAATTTTTTTGAATTGCTAATGTTTTAATAAAGATTTTTGAATCTATGTTCATAAGAAAAATTGACCTGTATGTTTCCTTTCTAATAATGCCGCTGTCTTGTTTTAATATTAGGGTAATGTTGAACTCATAGAATGTTAGGAAGTAATTCCTCTGCATCTATTTTCTGAAGATTACTGTGGAGAACAGGTATCATTTCTTTGATAAACGTTTTGTAGAATTTGCCACTGAAATCATCTTGGCCTGATACTTTCCATTTTGAAAGTTTTCTATTTAAAATTTTTAGTTATTTTTGTCAGTTTTTGAATAAACCATAGGAATAGGCTTATATTCAGATGACCTATTTCTCTGTTTTTCAGTTTTAGTAATTTGTGTCTTTAAAACAATCATTTCTTTTTATTTATCAAATTTGTGGACATGGATTTATTCATATTATGTTTATTATTCTTTCAATGTCCATGGGAACAGTATTGATGTCCCCTCTTCCACCATTGATGTTTATAATTTGTAGCTTATCTCTTTATTTCCTGGCTATCCTAGCTAGAATTTTATCAATTACATTATATTTGCAAATAATCAGATATTGGTTTTGCTGGTATTCTCTGTTGTTTTACCATTTATGATTTTATGGATTTTTATTCAAATTCCTAAAATTTCTTCTCTTTTACTTGGTTTAGCTTATATGCTGTTTTTTTCCTAATTTCCAAAGATGAAAATATATATTATTACCTTTATATCTTTTTTCATTTCCAATACATGCCTTTAATGCTATATTTTATCGGGTTAGTCTTACTGTTTTTACATCCCACAGATTTCAATATGTTGTGTATTCATTTTCATTTATTTGAATTTTTGTTTTCGGATTTTCCCATGAGTCTGGGTTGAGAGTGCTGATCAATACATTAGAACATAAAGTTCCACAAGAAAATCAAGATAAAAGGAGAGCTATAATCATTGGGTAGTTCAGTGGTGGTAATCTTCTGTAGGTCAAAGTTAAAAATAAGATAGGCAGTTAAACACCCAAGCTCCCAGACCGCATAGGGACTTGAAATCTAAAAATAATAAGAGCCAAGGAACAGTACTGAACTATCACAAGCAAGATAAGTGAAGTTCTTTTAATGAGACTAAGGTTCAAGTACCTAAATTGGAGAGTGCTGTAGAGGTAGTTAAAGTGACACAGTATTCCTAAGATGAAGGTAAGTGGACAGCCAACAAATATGGTGCTCATTTTATCAATGAAGCAAATAGAAAATTGAACATCAAGGTATTGAAAATGGTTTCCTTGATCAATTATCACCTTTTCTTCCAGTTTGTAGTCATAAATCAACTCACGGACTTAGAACCTAGAGTGACTCTTAGCCTATTTCCTGCCATAATGGTTTATAAAAGGTTATGTTAGTCCTGGCATGGTGGCTCACACCTGTAATCCCAGCCCTTTGAGAGGCTGAGGCTGGGGATCACAAAGTCAGGAGTTTGAGATCAGCCTGGCCAACATAGTGAAACCCTGTCACTATTAAAAATACAAAAAAAAAAAAAGTAGTCGGGAGTGGTGGCAGGTGCCTGTAATCCCAGCTACTCAGAAGACTGGGGCAGGAGAATCACTAGAATGTGAGAAGTGGAGGTTGCAGTGAGCCAAGATGGCACCACTGAACTCCAGCCCGGGTGACAGTGTGAGACTCCATCAAAAAAAAAAAAAAAAAAAAAAGAGTCATGTGAAAGCATATAGGAGAAAAAATTTATTAGGAAGAAAAATTTCTTTCAAAAGAAATATATATTTACATTCTGTTCTTTTAATAAATGTAGAAAGAGGGCATTTACTTGTCACTTCAAGTCAATGTGAGCGATGGTAAGAGAACTATCCATTGATACTGTCAAGTATTCCTTTAATGGGGTGGTAAAATGACAGACACTTGGCTCATTTCTGAGTATACTAGGATGAAGGGGTATAGTGGGAGCCACTTACATGCTTAAATAACAAAGACAGCTGACTCTATCAGAAGAAAGCATGACTTTCACCAACAACAGGAAATAGGTTCCTTTTTGTGGTGGACAAAAATCCATTCAAGAGGATTTTGCCAGGACAAAATGACCTCAGCAGGAAGATTCTACAGGTGTTCAGTTATATACAGTTGCTAATGGGAACTTCAAAAATACTCGGCCAAAAGGATTGGTATTTGACTGCCTCAAGAGAATAAAAGTTGGAACTCCTTAGTGAGAAAATTTCCTCAGGCCTGTGAAAACATCCTACAAGAGAAAGAATCAATATTGGGGATCTTCCATATCTAAAGGATATTGACAGCAGATTATACTTCCAATTATGTGGTCAATTTTAGGATAAGTACAATGTGGTGCTGAGAAGAATGTATATTCTGGTGATTTGGGGTGGAGAGTACTGTAAATGTCTATTAGGTCCACTTGGTCCAGAGCCGAGTTCAAGTCCTGAATATCCTTGTTAATTTTCTGTCTGGTTGATCTGTCTAATATTGACAGTGGGGTGTTAAAGTCTCCCACTATTATTGTGTGGGAGACTAAGTCTCTTTGTAGGTCTCTAAGAACTTGCTTTATGAGTCTGGGTTCTCCTGTATTGGGTGCATATATATTTAGGATAGTTAGCTCTTCTTGCTGTATTGATCCTTTACCATTATGTAATGCCCTTCTTTGCTTTTTTTATCTGTGTTGGTTTAAAGTCTGTTTTATCAGATACTAGGATTGCAACCTCTGCTTTTTCTTTTGCTTTCCATTTGGTTGGTAAGTATCCCTCTATCCCTTTATTTTGTGCCTATGTGTGTCTTTGCACGTGAGATGGGTCTCCTGAATACAGCAAACCTATCGGTCTTGACTCTTTATCCAATTTGCCAGTTTGTGTCTTTTAATTGGGGCATTTATTCCATTTACACTTAAGGTTAATATTGTTATGTGTGAATTTGATCCTGGTATTATGATGCTAGCTGGTTATTTTGCCTGTTAGTTGATGCCGTTTCTTCATAGTGTCAATGGTCTTTACAATTTGGTATGTTTTTGCAGTGGCTAGTACCAGTTTTTCCTTTCCATATTTACTGTGTCCTTCAAAAGCTCTTGTAAGGTGGTGACAAAATCTCTCAGCATTTTCTTGTCTGTCAAAGGTTTCATTTCTCTTTTGCTTATGAAGTTGAATTTGGCTGGATATGAAATTCTGGGTTGAAAATTCTTTAAGAATGTTGAATATTGGCCCCCACTCTCTTCTGGCTTGTAGAGTTTTTGCCGAGAGATCCACTGTTAGTCTGATGAGCTTCTCTCTGTGGGTAACCTGACCTTTCTCTCTGGCTGCCCTTAACATTTTTTTCTTCATTTCAACCTTGGTGAATCTGATGATTATGTGTCTTGGGGTTGCTCTTCCCAAGGAATATCTTTGTGCTGTTCTCTGAATTTCCTGAATTTGAATGTTGGCCTGCCTTGCTAGGTTGGGGAAGTTCTCCTGGATAATATCCTGAAGAGTGTTTTCAAACTTGGTTCCATTCTCCCTGTCACTTTCAGGTACACCAATCAAACATAGGTTTGTTTTTTTCACATAGTCCCTTATTTTTTGGAGGCTTTGTTCATTCCTTTTTATTTTTTTTCTCTAATCTTGTCTTCATGCTTTATTTCATTAAATAAATCTTCAATCTCTGATATTCTTTCTTCCGCTTGATTAATTCAACTATTGATACTTGCGTGTGTTTCACAAAGTTCTTGTGTGGCATTTTTCAGCTCCATCAGATCATTTATGTTCTTCTCTAAATTAGTTATTCTAGTTAGCAATTCCTCTAACCTTTTTTCAAGGCACTAGCTCCCTTGCATTGGGATAAAACATACTCCTTTAGCTCGGTGGAGTTTGTTGTCACCCACCTTCTGAAGCCTACTTCTGTCAATTTGTAAAACTCATTCTCTGTCCATTTTTTTTCCCTTGCTGGTGAGGAGTTGTGGTCCTTTGGAGGAGGAGAAGAGCCATTCTGGTTTTAGGAATTTTCAGCCTTTTTGAACTGGTTTTTCCTCATCTTCATGGATTTATCTGCCTTCTTTGATGTTAGTGACCTTTGGGTGGGATTTTTGAGTGGACATCCTTTTTTGTTGATGTTAATGCTATTCCTTTCTGTTTGTTAGTTTTCCTTTTAACAGTCAGGCCCCTCTGCTGCAGGTCTGCTGGGGTTTGCTGGAGGTCTACTCCAGACCCTGTTTGCCTGGATGTCACCAGCAGAGGCTGCAGAACAGCAAAGATTGCTGCCTGTTCCTTCCTCTGGAAGCTTTGTCCCAGAGGGGCACCTGCCAAATGCCAGCCAGAGCTCTCCTGTATGAGGTATCTGTGAACCCCTGCTGGGATGTGTCTCTCAGTCAGGATGCAAGAGGGCCAGGGACCCACTTGAGGAGGCAGTATGTCCCTTAGTAGAGCTCGAGCACTGTGCTTAGAGATCCATTGCTCTCTTCAGAGCTGATGGGCAAGACTGTTTAAGTCTGCTGAAACTTTGTCCACAGCCACCCCTTTCCCTTTCCCCAGGTGCTCTGTCCCAGAGAGATAGGAGTTTTATCTATAAGCCCGTGACTGGGGCTGTGAAAGGAGATTATAACTGTACTGTCCGGTCAGTTCTGTGCCCCTGCCTTATCACACCCTCCTGCACCTTATTAGTTAAAATTTACTTTTGTCTGATGAAATACAGAATGTTAAATAAGACAGAAACATATTTCTTTCAAAGAACAATATATAAGCCATCCAGAGAGCTGATATTATGACTTCGTTTCCTCAGGAACCCAGTCTCTTTAGGTCTCATTGCTTCATTATTTCATGATGTTTCTTTTGGTATAATAATACAAGATGATTCTACCACATCCACAACACCCAAAGCAGAGTAAAGGAAGAAGGGTATGAGGCATATGCTCTTCCTTTTATGAACATAACCAGGAGATTGACTCCATCCCACTTCTGATTGATAAGGTAATGGGCAAGATAAGAAAATATCGAACAGCTATAGATATGGTTCCAACTAAAAACCATATCACTATGAATAAAACAAATAAAGGATACTGTGAGAAAACATGAATTCCTGCCTCCTCCAATTACCCAAATCTGAGGGTGCCAGAAGCAATTTATGAAAGGAGGTGAAGAAGAAAACATACAAGTAGAAAAATAAACATCAATCTCACTATACAAGAAGTTGCATATCTGTATAGTGCATGGCTACTGCTTAGAGGGAAGTCTGTCTTCACAAAGAATGCCCAAGACAGTGTTATGGAAGATATGATTAAGGAAACTCCAGATCTGTTGAAACAAATGAGATAGTGCTTCATTCTTTGGAAGAAGTTGTTTGATACTTTCATAGCTGTTAAGGTTTGGCTGTCTCCCCACTCAAATCTCATCTTGAGTTGTAGCTCCCATAATTCCCATGTGTTGTGGGAGGGACCTGGTGGGAAAGAACTGAATCATGGGGCGGTTTCCTCCCATACTGTTCTCATGGTAGTGGAAAAGTCTCACAAGATATGATAGTTTAATAAGGGGAAACCCCTTTCACTTGGTTCTGATTCTCTCCTGTCTGCCACCATGTAAGACATGCCTTTCACCTTCCACCATGATTGCGAGGCCTCCCCAGTCACATGAAACTGTGAGTCTATTAAACCTCTTTTTTTTTAAATAAATAACCCAGTCTCAGATATGTCTTTATAAGCAGCATAAAAATGGTTTAATACAGTAAATTGGTAATGGTAGAGTGGGGATCTGCTGTAAAGATACCTGGAAATATGGAAGTAACTTTGGAATTGGGTAACAGGCAGAGGTTGAAACAGTTTGGAGGGCTCAGAAGAATAAAGAAAAAAATGTGGGAAAGTTTGGAACTTCCTAGAGACTTGGTGAATGGATTTGACCAAAATGCTGATAATGATATGGAACAATGAAACCCAAAATGAGATGGTCACAGATGGAGATGAGGAACTTGTTGGGAACTGGAGTAAAAGTGACTCTTGCTGTGTTTTAGCAAAGAGACAGGTAGCATTTTGCTCTTGCCCTAGAGATTTGTGGAACTTTGAACTTGAAGATGATTTAAGGTGTCTGGCAAAAGAAATTTCTAAGCAGCAAAGCACTTAAGAGGTGACTTGGGTTTTGTTAAAAGCATTCAGTTTTAAAAGAGAAACACAGCATAAGAGTTTAGATATTTTGCACACAGATGATGCAGTGAAAAAGAAAAACCGTGGATTCACAGAATGTCTTATCCACCACCATAATATTGCACACAGCATTGCCTCTGACCAAGGCACTCACTTTATAGCTAAAGAAGTGCAGCAGTGGGCTCATGCTTATGGAATTCACTGGTCTTACCATGTTCCCCATTATCCTGAAGCAGGTGGATTGATAGACTGATGGAATGGCCTTTTAAAGTGACAATTACAATGCCAACTAGGTGTCAAAACTTTGTAGGGCGGGGAGAGAGTTCCCTAGAAGGCTGTGTATGCTCTGAATCAGCATCAAATATATGGTACTGTTTCTCTCCTAGCTGGGATTCAAGGGGCCAAGAAGCAAGGGGTGGAAGTGGAAGTGGCACCCTCACCCTCACCCCTCATGACCCACTAGCAAAATTTTTGCTTCCTGTTCCTATGACATTACATTCTGCTGGCCTAGAGGTCTTAGTTCCAGAGGGAGGAATGCTGCCACCAGGGGACACAATGATTCCATTAAACTGGATGTTAGATTGGCACCTGGACACTTTGGGCTCCTCCTATCCATAAGTCAGCAGGCTAAGAAGGGAGTTAGTGTTTGCTAGGGTGATTGATCCGGACTATCAAGATGAAATTAGTCTTCTATTCCACAATGGAGTTAAGGAAGAGTATGCATGGAATACAGGAGATCCCTTAGGGTGTCTGTTAATTTTACCATGCCCTGTGATTAAGGTCAATGGGAAACTACAATAGCCCAATCCAGGCAGGACTACAAGTGGCCCAGATTCTTCAGGAATAAATGTTTGGGTTACTCTACCGGGTAAAAAACCATGAGCTGCTGAGGTCTTTGCTGAAGGCAAAGGGAATACAGACTGGGAAGTAGGAGAAGGTAGTTATCAATACCAGTTACAACCAGGTGGCCAGTTGCAGAAATGAGGACTGTAATTGTCCTAAGTATTTCCACTTTATTTTGTTAAGAACATGTTGGTGCATTATACACTTGTACTAAAAAAATCTTTATTTTGTTTTCTTTTTTCTTTATCATGTGACATAAGATTGATTGAGTTCATATCAGCATTTAAGTGTTGTTAACTTTATGTCATAGCACTTGGACTGGCGATTGGTGCATTTCCAGTTGAAGGAAGGGTAGCTATATTACATTAGGCATAATTACTACCTTCTTATTGTCTTTATTTAAAAATTATATATGATTTGAGGAGATGTGTATGGGTTCAAGTTGACAAGGGGTGGATTTGTGATGGTCAATTTTGAGTGTCAACTTGATTGGATTGAAGGATGCAAAATATTGTTCCTGGGTATGTCTGTGAGGGTGTTGCCAAAGGAGATGAACATTTGAGTCAGTGGACTGGAAAAGGCAGACCCAGTCTCAATCTGGGTGGACACAATCTAATTAACTGCCAGTGTGGCCAGAATATAAAGCAGACAGGAGAATGTGGAAAGACTAAAGTACCCCAGTCTTCTGGTCTCCATCTTTCTCCATGCTGGAAGCTTCCTGCCCTTGAACATCAAAATCCAAGTTCTTCAGCTTTGAGACTCTTAGATCTTTGACCACAGACTGAAGGCTGTACTGTTGGCTTCCCTACTTTTGAGGTTTTGGTACCCAGACTGGTTTCCATGCTCCTCAGCTTGCAGACAGCCTATTGTAGGACTTCACCTTGTGAGTCAATATTCATTAATAAACTCCCTTTTATATATACATCTATCCTATTAGTTCTGTCTCTCTAGAGAACCCTGACTAATATAATAACTTTAGAAAAAAAAATCATTCTGTCGGTTTAAATACATGATCTCTCCAATGTTTTCTCTGAAAAATAAAGACAGACTGAGTCTTTTTGAAAATTGAATGTAAACCAAGAAAAATAATTCTACCTCTACAATTTAGTCTATGCTAAAATGTATATTTTTATATATTACAAAACATAATATATTAAACTTATTATTACATATTATATATATTTATTTATGTATTTTAGAAGCAGTCTTGCTCTGTCACTAGGCTGGACTCCAGTGGCATGATGTCGGCTCACTGCAACCTCTGCCTGCTGGATTCAAGCGATTCTCCTCCCTCAGCCTCCTGAGTAGCTGGGACTACAGGCACGTGCCACCACACCTGGCTAATTTTTGGTATTTTAGTAGAGACAGGGTTTCACCATGATGGTCAGGATGGTCTCGATCTCCTGACCTCGTGATCCACCAGCCTCAGCCTCCCAAAGTGCTGGGATTACAGGCATGAGCCACCGCTCCCGGCCTATATGTTTTCTTATGTAATTGTTAAATGACTAGGTAGAAGTTCCCAGTCTAAATCAGAGATAACACAAGTAATGTAATTATGTCAGTGAGATGAGTAATTTATTGCAAACATATGGCTATCTATGGAAGTAAAACTAAACAGAGAACTGTTTATTTATCAGAAGATTAAAGAAAAAAATTCATGGTACTGGCCAGAGATATTTTTCTAAGTGCCAGAAATGTGTCTTTAGATTTATTTGAATAAGAAGGTGAAAGAGTAAAGATATCATCTGCTATGAACCTATTAACATGTACTTCTTTAATATAATTATTACATATGGATTAGTGTAAAGATAACTCATTTTTATATTGTCTTTCTAACTGTACATACATATTATATGTTTTTTCATGTAAATCTTGTAACTGTGACCTCTTTATAATTTTCCTAATTAGTTAATATTGTTTACTGCTATCAGTTTCATTTATTATATTACCTGGGAATTTCTTCTTATAGGTATGAATGTATTAATTTTATATATTAATTTTGCAACCAGTTGTCTTACTAAAATTTATTATCACTGATAATGGTTTTCCAATAGGTTCTCCTGAGCTTCTCTTTTAAGAAATATATCATTTTTGTTAATGATTTTCCCACTTCAGTTTCAATTATAATTCCTCTTATTTCTTTCTCTTATCTGATTTTGTTGGTTAATACCTTTAAAGCCAGAATTTTTCCAGAGTAAGAAGACATTTATCTAGGTCAAATTTTTTGTCATACTCCTATCCCTGTTTAGTGCTGATGGTTTGTCTGCTTGGTATTAATCTGGAAGGATATATATGGCTTGACTAAAATTCTTTTGTCTTTAAAATAGTATCATTCTACTTATGTGGGATTTCCACCTATTTTTCCTGTTTTGTACATAGAAGTAGGTTATTAGTCTTCTTTATTTTCTAGGATATTACATGAAAGGAAATACATACATATAGAATATATATTTATATATCTTTCATAGAATATATATATTTCTATATATCTTTTATAGAATATATATATTTATATATATCTTTTATAGAATATAACACAATCATTGCCTCCAATATTTTTTAGTCATGTCCCAGTGTTTAATGGGCTTATTTTAGTTCTTTTCAGGACCTATACATTTATAGAATAAAAATCTTTATTGCATTGTGTTTTTGAGGAAAGTTTTTATCTTTATTGTTATTTTAATGACATATTTGTGGAGGGAAAAATATTGTTCATCTTTCTTTATTAAAATTAGGAATTATTTGTTCCTAAACTTTTGAATGCCTTCTTCAAGAACGCAGTGAGCAGTATTAACAGGAATAATGAAAAGCTGGTAATAAATATATATCTAATAATAGAAAACACATTATGTTCTTTATCAGTACGTGATTTTGAATTATATTTTTACTAAATTATTTTATGAGAAGTTAATTTTCAAAATTAAACACAGCTGGCTTTGTTGTAAAGCACAAAAGGAGAGGGAGGCAAAAGATAAACATTTCACAACCTTTAAAAAGCATAAAAATATTGGAAATAAATTAAGGCACTATATATTTTCTTTTATTTAACAACTTTAAACAACTTACATATTACTCATATAACTAGAAAATTTAAAAATTAGCTTTTTACTTAACATGAGTGTGATGAATAACTTGCACTTTGTTCTTTAATCACATAAATTATTAAAAATGATTAAAGAAAAAGGAACATTTCAAAAGTTGTTTTGAAGTATCTATAGATTATATTTGTACACAAGCTGCATATGTCTAAAATATAATATATATACAACTTTATATTCAATGATATACAATGACTCTTAATAACATGTAAATATACAACTTATCACAAACTAATTTGTAGCACTAAATTATTTTTCTTAATTTCCAAACATAAAATTTTCAAATAAACTCAGTCTATTTTTATTTTGCAGAGAACACATTGGCAAGATTATGTATTTGAACATACTGACAGATTGATTTTTCCTAAAGCTAAAAAATTATCAAGCAACTTCCCTCTCCAAAAAAAGAAAGCATCACCTCATTTATATCATGAGGTTTGGGGGTTCCTTAATGAATATCTTTCATAACACTGATTTGGGCATTCTTTTCAAACATATACGTGCCTCTAAAACAAAAGCTAGGTCATGTATAACGATCATGTCATGCAACTTCTTGTGAATGTACATCAAGAAACAGATGCTTCTAACATCTCTTCTTTGCAGCCTGGAGAACATAAAGTGATGGATCATGAAAATTTCACTTCTATATAGAATTTTAGCCTAATTTAAACTAGGAGTCAGTTCTCTAAATGGACACATACATATTTTAGATTTGGGAGGCTGTACATGGCCTCGGTTGCAACTACTTTGCCAAAGTGAGAATGAAGCCATTGATAATACTTTAAAAACAAATGTGGTCATGTTCCAAAAAAAATTTATAAAATAGGCAGCCAGGCCAGGCGTGGCGGCTTATACCTGCAATACCAGCAATTTGGGAGGCCGAGACAGGCAGATCACCTGAGGTCAGGAGTTCGAGATCATTCTGGCCAACATGGTGAAATCCCGTCTCTACTAAAAATACAAAAATTAGCTGGGTGTGGTGGTCCATTCCTGTAACCCTAGCTCCTAGGGAAGCTGAGCTACTAGAATCACTTGAACCTGGGAGGCAGAGGTTGCGGTGAGCCAAGATCATGCCTGCCACTGCACTCCAGTACCTAGGTGACAGAATGAGACTCTGTCTCAAAACAAAACAAAACAAAACAAGGCAGCCAGCTAGTAGGTCACAGTTTACTTACTCTTAAATAAGATTATAAGTTTCATGTGTGCCTTGTACATGAAGAGTTGCAAATTAAGTATTTATAAAACATAGAAATAATTATTAGAGTTTTTTAGTTTGCTTCATCAAAGTTTTGGTAGTTTCTATACAATCACTTGAATAATGAATATCAAAAGTGTTTGTTTCTTTTTGAACAACTTTTTAACATCACTTGGACTTAGGGTGACAAAAAAATCTGTTTTTATTTCTTATACTTAATATTGCTAGTTAACAAATCCAATAATAAATAAATAAAACATCTAGGTGGAGATTTATCATCCTACACACATACATAGTGTTGAGTACACTTCCTCAGGGCAATTATGAGCTTTTCTGCTACATATTAATATACATCTTCTTGAAAATTGCACATTCTGTAAAATTACACTAAAACATATGATTATGAATATGGTAAACATATGATTTGTCAATCAAACCATGGTACTTTCAAAAATGAAGGAGCATAATCCAGTGGAACAGGCTAGAGAACCCATAAATAAAGTTGCACACCTACAACCAAGGGATCTGCATCTGATCACACCTACAACCATAAGACCACAGTGAGATACCCTCTCACACCAGTCAGAATGCTGACAAGGTTGTGGAGGAAAGGGAATGCTTATACACTCCTGGTGGGAATGCCACTGTGGCAAGCAGTTTGGAAGTTTCTCAAAGAACTTCAAACAGAACTACTATTCAACTCAGCAATCTCATTACTGGGTATATACCCAAAGGAACATAAATCATTCCACTATAAAGTCACATACACACACATGTTCATCACAGCACTCCATAGTAGCAAATAGATGGAATCAACATAGAAGCCTATCAATGGTGCACTGGATAAAGGAAATGTGGTACATGTACACCGTGGAATACTGTGCAGCCATAAAAAGAATGAAATTTTGTCTTTTGCAGCAACATGGATGTAGCTGGAGGCCAGTATCCTAAGTAAATAAATGCAGAAACAGAAAACCAAATACCGCATGTTCTCACTTATAAGTGGCAGCTAAATTCTGGGTACTCATGAACACATAGACAGGAAAAATAGACACCCGGGGCCTACTCCAGGTGGAGGGTGGGAGTGGAGTAAGGATCAAAAAAACTACCTACTGAGTACTATGCTTACTACCTGGGTGACAAAATAATTTTACATCAATCTCCTGCAACACACAATTTACCCATGTAGTAAAACTGTGTGTGTACTCTCTTAACCTAAATTAAAAATTGAAAGGAAAAAAAAAAGAAGTCACTAAAAATAAAGTCTAACATTATTTAAACTTGAAGAAAACAATGTATTAATGAATTACTCGTTTGTATTAAAATCTGTGTCTTAGGCTCATTTACCTTAGCAGTTTAAATGGCCAGGCATTCTCAGGTGGTTTCTACTGTTGGAACATGAGATTCTCCTTTTAAATATTGAAATAGGTTCTATTCATACAAAATATTTTTACTAGATTATAATATTACTATTAATATCAACCAAGAGAAATTAGTAAAGTTACAATTCATTTAGTTTATATTTTATTAATTTTATTATATTTTACAGATAGAATAACTTTTATAAATATTTGAAAATTTGAGTAGATATTTGGATGTATTACTGTTTACTTGAAATAATGAAAGATATGTAAATTTGCATCTATCACCTATTAAGTCTTTAGGAAATAATGAGTAAATGTAAGATTTCAGAGTCTCCTTGCAATCATTTTAACTCTCCAAGTTCCTGAGTAACAGGTTGGGCTCTCTGACCTGAGGAAAATAAATAATATAAATACAAAATAATACTTGCATTTTCTTCACCAGGGCATTATGCTCTCTGGACTGTAACCTCCTTATGACTATCTTGGATCCTCAATACCCAGCACAGTATCTGACACATAATAGGAACTCAATCCATGTTTATTTTATGAATAAATTAATGAATTTCACTTAAAAAAGAATGAAAGACAATTATAGTTATGCCAGGAATACAATAAAAAATCCTTAAATCAGGTCAATCAGGGACATTCTGGGAAGAATGAAAACATTGCCTCTATCTTTCTAGCGTTTTTTGATTGGGCCTGAGGATTGAGTTGACATAAAACAGACCAACAGGAGAAAACATATAAATTTAATTAACACATACTTGATGTGGCCCAGGAAAATGAAGAAATAAAGACCAAAGACAAAGTTGGAGTTAAACACTCATACACTGAATTAGAAAAAGAGCAATACATTGTAAAAATGTGGCAAGACACAGAGGCTTAGCTTAGGCCAGTCAATTGGATGGAGAAGTCACTAGGATGGTAAGGGTTAGGCTATCGAGATTTGCTTGTATCAATTTTCTTCAAGTTTAACTGTCCATCCTTGAAAATAATAACAATTCTTTCATTTCCTTCTGATATAAGTAGGGCATCTTTTACAAGAGAATTTTATCTCCTGCTTTTTAAGTAACAGAGCAAAGGTCAGAGTGATTTTCTTGCACCTGCTGGTTTTCAAGTGCCTTTAACTTAAAATAGTAAATGTGCCAAAACAGCATATTTTGGGCTGGACTTTTCTGAACTCCTTCACTTTCCAGGACTTATGATCCTAATTATGAGAAAATGAGGTGGAGGAAAGACTCCTCAGGACACATTCAAGTTTGTATCAAAGAATTAAATTAAATAGTAATTGGACCTTGGGGGAGATAACTTGGACCAATCAGGCAGTTTAGATGGCTACAGGCAACTACTACAATATCAAATAGGCATGTCGCAACAATATAGATGTCCTGACAACAGTTTGCTTAGAGCTAAGGCTACTCAACTGATGTGAGAATGAACATAAAATGAAGCCCTGCACCCCTGAAGCTGCCATTAAGCAGCAGAGTAGGCCGTGAAACCTGTGAGCAGTCAAGAGCAGCTCAAGACTGAAGGTGTGCCTTCCTGGGGGCAAGTGTTCATTTTCACTTTTGTTGAAATACAGCTCAAAGAGGTCTGGGTGAGGTAAAATTCACTTGCCTTTTCATGTTGGAGGTTTTAACTCTACTACTATTACCTCAGCTTTTCTTGCTTAGGAAAGATTATGAATCAACCAATTTGACTTTCACATTTTACTGAAGTTACAGGTTGATGCTCCTATTATGTTAGAAGCTCCTATTTAGTGATCATGTAAGAGAAATCCTGTTACAAAGCAGTGCTGTTTTTCCTATCACTCTAGATTAAACCATACAATTGAATTAACTTTTTAAAAATATGCAGTTAGAAGAAATAGCACAGAGACAGCCTCCTTATACATTTTGCTCAGTTTTCCCCCAGGTAACATTTTGCAAAATTATAGCATAATATCATAACCAGGATATTGGCATTGATATAATTCACCAATCTTATTCATATTTGCCCAGAATGTGTGCATGATGTTCTATACAATTGTGTCATCTATGTAGTTTCCTATATCCACCACCATAGTCAACATACTGAACAGTTCCAACACCACTGGAAACGTTTTTGTTGCCCTCACTGTTCCTTGGCCCCTTGGCCCTGTCACCAGTTAACCACTATTCTGTCCTCTACTTCCAAACTCTTCTCCTTTCAAAAAATGCTACATCAATGGAATCACACAGTGTGTAAGCTTTTGGGGTTCATGACTTTTTTTGTGTTCCACATAATTTCCTGCAGATTCATTCAAATTGTTACATGTATAAAATGTGTTCCTTTTTATTGCTGATTAGTATTCTATGGTATGATTATATCCTAGTGTGTTTATTCACCTATTGAAGGACTTTGGGGACGACTCCAGTCTTCATTCAAAATAAAACCATTATAAACATTCATGTACAAGTTTTGTTTGGACATAAATTTTTTTATTTATCTTTTAGCCAATGACCAGAAGTACAACTGGGTCATATGGTGTTTATATGTTAAGTTTTTACAATAATTGCTAAATTGTTTTCCAGAGTGATTGTATCATTTATATTCCCACCCGTAATTCATAAGTAACATAGTTAATTTGCAAACTTTCTAATACTTGGTGTTCTTTCTCTTATTATTATCATCTTTAAACTTTAGCCATTTTGATAGGTGTTTTGTGTGGTATAGTGGTTTTAATTTACATTTCCCTAATGGCTAATGATGCAAAACATATTTTCATGTGTTTCTTTGCTATTTGTACATTCTTTTTGCTGAAATGTCTACACATGTATTTTGCCAATTTTCTGATTAGATTGTGTTTTCACTGTTGAATTTTAGTTCTTTATATATTCTAGATAGTAATCAATGGTTAAATATCCAGTTTGCAAATGCCGTATTTTCACTCAGTCGATTGCTTGTCTTTTCCCTTCTCATGAGCTTTCAGAGAACAAATGTTTTAGTTTCTTTTATTAAATTTTTTTATTGATGCTAATAAATGTACATAGTTTTGGCATACATGGGATGATTTAATACAGTCATATGTTGGTAAAGATCAAGACAGTGTACGGCGATATTCATCACCTATAGTGTTGTCTTTTCTTTATTCTAGAAACATTCAAATTATTATCCTTTAGGCTTTTGAAATTTGCAATAGATTATTGTGAACTATAGTCACCCTACTGACCTATTTAACACTATGTCTTATTTATTCTATCATACTGTATATTTGTACTCATTAATCAACTTTTCTTGATTCCTTCTTCCCCCCACTACCCTCCAGTGGTAGATGAGTAACCAGTAATCTACTCCCATGAGAGTCACTTCTTTAGCTCCCAAATGTAAGTGTGAACATGCAATATCTGCCTTTCTGTATCTGTCTTGTTTCACTTAACATAATGACCTCCAGTTCCATGCATGTTGCTGCAATTGACAGGATTTCATTTGTTTTTATGGCTGAACAATATTCCATTATGTGTATATACCACATTTTCCTTATTCATTCATCTGTTGATGGGCACTAAGTTGATTAAATATTTTGGCTACTGTGAATAGTGCTGCGATAAACAGAAGTGCAGATATCTTTGTGATATATTGATATCCTTTTTTTGGATATAAACCCAGTAGTAGAATTTCTGCATTATATTGGAGTTCTCTGTCTAGTTTTTTGAGGAACCTCTACATTATTGTCCATCCTGGCTTTAATAATTTATATTCCCACTCACAGTGTAAGAAAGTTCCCCTTTCTCTACATCCTTGTCAGAATCCATTATTGCCTGTCATCTTGATAAAAGCCATTTTAAATGGGGTGAGATGATACATCACTGCAGTTTTTATTTGCATTTATCTGAAGAGTAGCAATGTGGAGCATTTTTTCAAATACCGGTGGACCATTTGCATGTCTTCTTTTGAGAAATACCTACTACGGTCTTTTGCACATTTTTAATTGGATTATTTGATCCTTTCCTGTCAAGTTCCTTGAGCTACTTATATAGGCTAATTATTACTATCTTGTCAGAGGAATAGTTTCCAAATATTTTCTTCCATTCTATGGGTGGTCTCTCCACTTTGTTGTCTGTTTCCTGTATTGTGCAGATTTAATTAGATCCAGTTTATCAATTTTTCTGTGTACGGATCTGCTTTTTATGTCAAGTATTAGAATATTTTACCTAGCCCTAAATCTCAAGATTTTCTGCTATTTTTTTTCTAGAAGTGTTAGAGTTTTACATTTTTTTTAGTTGACTTTTTTTTAATTTAATTTTTTATAACATGGAAAGTTTAGCTTAAGGTTCACTTTTTGCCTAGGGAGGTCTAATTGCTCCAGTACAATCTGTTGAAAAAACTATGTTCCTTTCATTGAAATGGTTCTGCACATTTGTAAAATATCAGTTGGACATATTTATGTGGGCTGATTTCTGGATCCTCTTTTCT
Source organism: Homo sapiens (assembly GCF_000001405.40). Taxonomy (NCBI): domain Eukaryota; kingdom Metazoa; phylum Chordata; class Mammalia; order Primates; family Hominidae; genus Homo; species Homo sapiens. The sequence continues at coordinate 133,835,893 of NC_000004.12, forward strand.
ATTCTACTGATCTGTGTGTCTACCAAACTCTAGTACCACATTGCTTTGAATACTATAGTTAAATAGGATATTTTAGAGTAGAGTAATTCATCCAACTGATTCTTCTTTATCAAAATCGTTTCAGCTATTCTAAAGTTTAGAAATATTTGTTTATGTCTGCAGAATGTCTTGCTTCAATTTGGATGGGAATTACATTAAAAATGTAGGTCAAATTGCAGAAAAATAGTATCTACACGACTTTGAGTCTTCCAATCAATGAATATGATATGTCCCCACTTATTTAAATCTTTAATTTCTTTCATTAAAATTTTATAATTTTTCAATAAATAGAATTTATATTTTATTAAATATATACCTAAGTATTTCCTTGTTTTTCAAGTGATTGCAAAAGGTATTCCATTTTAAAATTCAATGTCCATGTGTTCATTGTTAGCATAAAGTAATGCAATTGATGTGTGTGTGTGCATGTGTGTGTGTGTGTGTGTGTGTGTCCATGTGTGGATCTTGCATTTTGTAGTCTTGCTGAACTCACTTATTAGTTTTAGGAGTTTTATTAAAGATTCTTTGGAACCTTCTGCCTGGACAATTCTATCATCCACAAATAAGGATAGTTTTATTTCTTTTTTTTTCAACCTATATATTTTATTTGCTTTTCTTATCTCAGGAACAGGAACTTCTAGTACCATACTGAATGAATGGTGACAGTGTCCTTGCATTGTTCCCATTTCTAAGCAGAAAGCCCTTGTTCTTTACAATTAACTATGCTGGCTATAGGTTTTTGTTAAGTGTTATCAAGTTGAGATAATTTCCCTCTATTCCTAACTCGTTGGGAGTTTTTCTAATGAATGTGGTGTTGAAATGTCAAGTGCATTTTCTGACTCGGTGGATATAATAATTTACTGAATTTTTGTTTAGTAGTTATACGTTACTAAGAAGGGAGTACCAAAGCCCGCAGCTATAGCCATTGACTTGTCTATATTTCTTTTTAGCATTGTCAGTTCTCAATTTATGCATTTTGGAGCTCTATAATTTGTTAAACCTTCCTGGTGGATTCAAACTATTATCATCGTGTAACATTCTTCTCTATTCTTGTAATTTTCTTTGTTCTAAAGGCTACTTTACCATACATTAACTTTGAAAAATGTGATGTTTTAACAAATTTGATTAAAAAGTTTCCTAAGCTCCAGTTTTATTTCCCACTGGTTTATTTTGAATATACGTATTTTTCTAAACATTCATCTTTATCTCTAAATTATCCCCAAGTATAAAATAAAGTTTATTTTCATCGACTCTTACAATGTTCTTTTATTGATATTTAAATACATTGTGCAATGATTATCACATTCAAATTAATTAGCACATCCATCACCACCCATGAAATATGTTAGCTACCCAGAACTTTTTATTCTTATGACTAAAAGTCTGTAGGCCTTGATCAACATTTTCTCATTTCTCCAGCCTCACAGTCCCTGGAAATTACCTTTCTCTGTTTTTATGAGTTCGATTTTTTAAAATCCCACTTGTAAGGGAGATCATACAGTATTTTTTCTGTGTCTGGCTTATTTTATTTAACATAATGTCACTCAGGATTATCCACATTTTTCTAAACATCAGGATTTCCTTACTTTTTATGGCTAAATAATATTTCATTGTATGCATACATTTTCTTTATCCACTCTTCAATCTAAGGACATTTAGGGTTTTCCATATCTTGTCCAGTGTGAATAGTCCTGGAATGAACATGGGAGTGCAGACATCTCTTTGAAACACTGATTTCATTTGCTTTGGGTATATACCCAGAAGGGAGATTGCTGAATAGCATGGTAGTTCTATTTTTAATTTTTTTTTTCAGGAATTGCTGTACTGCTTCTCACAATGGGTGTACTAATTTATAATCCTATCAACAGTGTGCAAGGGTATCCTTTCCTCCACATTCTCACCAACACTTATCTTTTGCCTTTTTGATAATAACCATCCTAACAGGTGTTAGATGACATCTCATTGTAATTTTGATTTGCATTTCCCTGATGATTAGTGACATTGAGCACCTTTATATATATTTGTTGGCCATTGTATGTCTTTTTTGAAAAAAAAGTTTATTTAGGTCCTTTCTGCCCATTTTTAAGTTGGGTTCTTTCTTTGTTTTTGTTTTTTTTTTTTTTTTTTTTTTTGCTATAGAATTGTGTGAGTTATTTATGTAGTTTGGCTATTAATGTCTTATTAAATATATGGTTGGCAAATATTTTCTCCCATTTTGTTGGTTGACTTTTGATTTTGTTGTTTATTTCTTTTTTTGTACAGAAGCTTTAAAATTTGACATAGTCCCATTGGTTTATTTTTGCTTTTGTTGCCTGTGCTCTTGGTCTCATATCAAAAAAAAAAAGTTGCAAAGACTTATGTCATAGAGCTTTTTCCATAGGTTTTCTTCTAGTGGTTTTATGGTTTCAAACCTTACATTTAAGTTTTTAATCCATTTTGAGTTAATTTTTGCATATGGTGTAAATAAGAGCCCAATTTTGTTCTTTTGCATGTGGGTATACAGTTTTCCCAACAACATTTGAGGGGATTCTCCTTTTCTTATTATGTATTCTTGGCACCCTTGTTAGTGAATGAATGTCATATATATATGGGTTTATTTCTGAGCTATCTTTTTATTCCATTGATTTATGTACCTGCTTTTATTCCAGTACCATCTGTTTTAATTACTATAGCTTTGTAATATAGTTTAAAAACAGAGAGTGTGATACTTCCACTTTTGTTTTTCTTTCTCAAGATTGCTTTAGCTTTTCAGTGTCTTTTTGGTACCCTATTAATTTTAGTTGTTTTTTTTTTCTATTCTGGAAAAAAATGACACTTGAATTTTCATAAGGATTTCATTGAATCTGTAGATTACTTTGGGTAATAGAACATCTTTAAAATATTAATTCTTCCAACACATGAAAATGGCATATCTTTCTTTACTTTTTCTCTATGAAGTCTTGCTCTCTTGTCCAGTGGGGAGTGAAGTGGCATGATCACAGCTCACTATAGCCTACTTCCCAAGCTCAAGCAATCCTGATGCCTTAGCCTCCCTAGTAGCTAGGATTACAGGAATGAACCACCATGCCCAGCTAACTTTGTGTTTTCCATAAAGACAGGATCTTCCTATGTTGTCCAAACTAGTCTCAAACTCCTGAGCTCAAGAGATTTTCCCTCCTTGGCCTCCTAAAGTGCCAATGTGAGCACCGTGCATGACCCACCACACCTGTCTGGATATCTTTCCATTTATTTGTGTCTTCTTCACCTTATTTAATCAGTACCTCATAGTTTTAAGTGTGCAGACCTTTTACTTCTTTGGTTAAATATATTCCTAAGTATTTTATTCATTTTGATAGTATTATAAATGGGATCATTTCCTTAATTTTATTTTCAGATAATTCATTACTAGTGTATACAAAGACAACTAATTTAGGTATGTTGATTTTGTATCCTGCAGTTTTAATAAGTTTTTTTATTTGTCCTACAAGTATTTTTGTGGAGTCTGTATGATTTTTTTATATGTAAAGTGATGTCATCTGTAATCAGATACAATTTTACTTCCTCCTTTCTACCAATTTGGGTGATTTTTTTTTTCTTGCCTAATTGCTCCATCAAGTGGTGAGTGTTCACCATTGCCTTTTTTCTGATCTTAGGGGAGAAACTTTTAGCTTTTCACCTTTGAATATGATGTTAGATGTGAACATGAAACATACCAACTGTATTACAGTGAGGTATATTTTTCTATACTTAATGTATTAAAAGTTTTTTTATAAAGGAATATTGAAATTTGTCAAATACCATTTTTTCATCTATTAAGATGATCATATGACTTTTATTTTTTATTCTGTTATTGTGGTGATATCACTTTTAATGACTTATGTAGATTGAACCATCCTTGGATTCCATAGGTAAGTTCTATTTGATTATAGTGTTGATTTTTGTTTGCTCATATTTTCTTGTGGATTTTCGCTGTTAGGCTTATCAAGGGTATAGATCTGTAATTTTCTTATAGTGTCCTTATGTGGCTTTGGTATGAAGATAATGCTGGCATTGTGAAATGAATTTGAACATTTTTCTCCTCTTAAATTTCATTTTTTTTTTGTGGGGGGTGATTCGAGAAGCATTAGTATCAATTCTTTTTTAAAAGTTTGGTAAAATAGAATAATGAGGCCATTTTGTCAGGAGCTTTTCATGTTGAGGAATTTATGATGACTGATTCAATCTTTTTACTTGTTATTTGTCAGCTCAGACTTCGTATTTCTTCATATAATTCAATTTTGCTGGATTGTAGGTTTCTGCAAATTTATTCATCTATTATAAGTTACTCAATTTGTTGGCATGTAATTATTTATAGTAGTCACTTTTGATCTTTTGTATTTCAGTAGTATCAGTTGTAATGTCTCTTTTTTCATTTGTAATTATACTTACTTGAGTCTTTTTCTCACTCACTCTCTCTCTCCCTCTCATCAGTCTAACTAAAGGTTTGTCATTTTCACTTATCTTTTCAAATACAAGATAAACTCGTACTTTTTTGGTTTTCCTCTTGTTTTTCTAGTCTGTTTCATTTTTTTCTGCCCTAATCTTTATTACTTCTTTTTTTCTGCTGTTTTTGACCTCAGTTTGTTCTTCTTTTTCTAATTCCTTGAGGTGTGAAGTTCAGGTTGTTTGAGTACTTTTCTCTTTTCTTAATATAGGCATTTATCACTGTAAACTTCCCTCTTAACACTGCTTTTATTGCATCCCATGTTTTAATATGTTTTATTTCTATTTTTGTTCATCTCAATATACTTTAAAAATTTCCCTTTTCTTCTTTTTTTCACCCATTGGTTGTTCTGAATTGCATTGTTTAATTTACACATTTTTGTGAATTGTCCAAAATTTCTTCTCTTTTTGATTTTTAGTTTTATGTGGTCAGAAAAGACATTTAAAATGATTTTAATCTTCTTAAATGTGTTAAGACTTTCTTTATGACCTAACACATAATCAATCCTGGAGAATATTCCTTGTGTCTCTCACTACTGTTGAATAGAATGTTCTGTACATGTCTGTTGGGTCCATTTGGTCTATAGTGTTATTCAAGTCTGCTGTTTACTTTTTGATTTTCTGTCTGGTTGATCTAGCCATTGCTGAAAGTAGGGTAAGAAAGTCCCCTACTATTACTGTATCATTGTCGTTTCTTCATTTAGTTCTGTTAATATTTACTTTCTATATTTAGGTGCTCCAAGGCTGGGTGCATATATATTTACTATATTATGTCCTTTTGATGAATTGACCCCTTTATTATTATTGCTTGTCTCTTGTGACAGATTTTGACTGAAAGTCTGTTTCGTTTGATGTAAATATAGTATAGACACTCCTGGCTCTTTTACTTACCATTTGCATGAAGTATCTTTTTCCTGTCAGGTCTCTGGGCTGATGGGAATCCCTCTGGAATTGTGCTTGAGTGAAATTGGTGCCAATTCATGTGGTTGCTGCAATGTTCTCATTGGGTTTGTGATTGGTGGAACTGTTACCAGGGGCACTACTGGGTGTGGATCTTCTCTGATCCCTAAGTGGGTTGGACAACCTCTGGAACCTTGGTCAGTGCAGTTGATGCTAGGATAAGGTTCCAATGAAGGGTCTTCAGAATCTTGGCCATTACCAGGTGTGCAGATAGGAGTGGCTTCCCCAGGGTTCCTGGAACAGCTCCCAGTGAGTAATGAAGTAGATCTCTGGGCAACCAGCACTGGCTCTGGATCATGCATGAGAAGAGCTGAAACCACATCACAAGGCTGCTTCAGGATCTACCACTAAAACTGAGGTCTGGCTCCCTCTGGGGTCACACATGGCATGTCTCTTCACTGGCAGGACTGCTCTCAGAGTGCAGCCAAGAGGGGCAGGAGCCAATTTACAATGCTGTTTGAAGATCCATAGTGGGATCTAGGTCAGTGGGCCCGCTTCTGGGGTCACTGGCAGGCATGTCTCCTACTGAAACTCTGTGTGGTCAAGAATATTCTCAAACTGCAGCTGAGAGGGGCTGGAGCTGAGTTTCAGGGCTATTTCAAGGTTTCATATGGGACCAAGGTTGGCAAACTTGCTGTGTGCATCAAATCACACTCTCAAGTTGTGATGTCTCAATACCAACTGGCTTAGCACATATATCATTGTCCTCCCATTGTACTACACATAAACTCAGAAGAGGAACAAAAGAAGAAAATATATCAAGTACTTTTTAAAGATCTCTCTTGACCCCACCATGGTATTCTAGAATTTATCAAAAATAAGGGTCTGCTAACATTTTTAAGATTTCATTTGGGCTACTTTTCTGAATATACTTAATATATTCAGAAAGAGTTGAAAAGAAATGGAAAAAAGTAAAATTGAACCTTGTCTTCCATTTCCCCCTGGTTTAAGTTGTTTAGATATAGAAAAGATCTGTGTAACTTTATTATATTAGAATATGGTACACTCATATTTTGTAATTTATTTTAAGATGTGCATTTTAAAACAAAGCAAAAACATGTCTGCGTTACTGAAAGTTTTGATCATTTATGTATCTAATTTACTCTATCATCAAACATATTTATGTTTTCTTTCTTAAACTTTATATTTCAATGAAAAGTTTGGTATATAAGACAGTTTTGTTTACTAAACTTCCTAAGTCTCACCACATTCTTTGATTACTTAGTATTTTTCTAAACACTACCAGCAGCACTTAACACGTCATAATATTGAGGATTCTGTTTCATTGCTTTTTTTCTTTAAAAAGGCTTTAAATGTTAGAAAAACTTTTATGCTGTTAACCAGTGCAAGAGCATTTATAAGGATAAATGTCTTTGCTTGGAAATCAGTACACATGCTTTTATCATCCCCTTTTCAAGTTTAATAAAAGCATTTAAAACCTGTAAATAACAGAAAACAAGAAGTTCTGGACATTTTTATGTGATATATGGATGTGGTTAAAATCTTTCACAGATACTTTCAAAACTCTATTTTTAGCAGCTACACTGAGGAACTAAATGAAGATTTTATTGAAAAGCACAATAAAAAAACAATTTCATAATTAATATATGGGTTTGCAGTATGTCTAATGATGATTTACATATTGAAGGGTAATAGCATTTTCTTATTTTATCAGAGCCAAGGTACTAACTCATCACAGAAATATAGTTTGACTTCTGGATATAGTATACCTTCTTCATAAAATAATGTCCTGAATTTTAGATGAGAATTTTACATTTTAAATGTGCTGTACAAAGCACTCTGACAATGATTATAATAAATCCCCCTTTACATTTACTCTGACGTATAACATATAGCAATGAAGAATCAAACCACATTCATACGAAAGAAAAAAGAAATATTCATCTTATGTGGTACTCTTAATCTCTCTTAACATCTAAAGATATAGGTTTCCTATCTTCAATCAAACATATTGGTTATGTAATTATTGCATTCACTGCTGCACTTTGGACTTTTTGTTTAAATAAAGGCCACTCTCTTTTAAATATGTTAGGAAAGTACCTTAAAAATACACTAAATGTATTCTTTCTTAATTGCAGTAGAGATATTTCATGTGCCACATATTTTATCAAATGTCAAAATCTCAATAACTGTTAAAAGCATAAGATAGAAATGTGTAAACAAAACCTCCTAGATTTTGAAAAAATATGAAAATATCAATTGTTTAATACAAATTTAGAATCCTGAAATTTAAATTCTAATTACTTATGCTAAAACTAATAACTAATAAAAGAATATACACAGACATACACATATTTTTGAAACGTTTATCTTTTTTATATTTAAAGGCACAATAATATCAAAATATTTTGAATATTTAAAATGTTAGAGAATATTTGATGTTTTAATATTCTTTCATTTACTAAATAACAGTTATATATTGTTTACTCATATGAGTGATTATTAAATAATACCAAATTTATAATAATACCAATACTATATTTTAGCAAATATTTTACAAATACAAATACAAATTTGCAAAATGTTTGCTAAAATAAGAGAAAGTATCTAGATAAGAAGAGATGTAGACTATGAAGCAAAAACGAACCTTGGTTTGTAATTTTTCACAGATAACAATTTAAAAGATTTATGGAAAATTATTTGAAGTGAAAAGATTTTTTATGATATATACATAATTTATAAGCAATGCAATCTGCAAAATGTTCTCATTTTATTGCTAATTATTTTATGAAACAACATAACATTCAAAATCCTCTATTTTAAAATCATTTTATGTAATTCTTTTGTAATTTTAGAAAGTCTGCTATAGATTTTAAAATTTGCAAAACTGAAATACAACTTAAACATTGTACAACAATGGAAAATTTTGTTCATTATTTCCTTTTGTTCAGAGTCTTCTATAAAAAAGTCATAAATGAGTTTTTAACTAGCAATGGATGAAATATTTGGAATCTCACACTAATTTCATTCAACTTTTTAAAAATTCAGGTATTTGAAACAATAAATAACCAAAATAAGTAAACAAAACTATGACACGAAGAATAAATTTACTCTTCTAAGATAATACATCTGGAAATATCAAATATAGCTGATAACATATAGAAAATGTTTAAGTACATTTAAATATATATAGCTAAAAATTATTAAACTGCTAGCATGTTTTAAAGGCCAATAAACCATTCTTGAATGAATAACTCCTTGAAGCTTCACAGTTCAATGAATTTATTTGTACTTAATTTACAACTGAAAACTGTGCGTGTGTGTGTGTGTAGGTGTGTGATCTGTGTCTGAGTCTGTGTCTGTCTGTATCTCTGTCTGTATCTCTCTATATATACTTTTATAGACAGATACACAGAAGAGCTATTTGTTTTCAAAACCCATGTTTTTTTAACTATTGCAAGGTATTTCCTCCTTCCATTCTTCATTGGTCTAATATTCCTGTGACTTTCTATGCCATATCCTTGCATACCCATCTCAATTTGACAAAATCCACCAAGAGATAGCCCGTAAGAGATCTGCCTGCTTTCAATGTCATCCCAATTCACATTATCCTCTTCAGTACCATCATAATGTTCTTTTTTTAATGTATTTTTATTTATTTATTTTTTGATACAGAGCCTCGCTCTGCCGCCCAGGCTGGAGTGCAGTGGCGCGATCTCGGCTCCACCTCCCGGGTTCACGCCATTTTCCTGCCTCAGCCTCCCGAGTAGCTGCGACTACAGGTGCCCACCACCACGCCCGGGTAATTTTTTGTATTTTTAGTAGAGATGGGGTTTTACCGTATTAGCCAGGATGGTCTCAATCTCCTGACCTCGTGATCCACCCGCCTCGGCCTCCCAAAGTGCAGAGTGTTCTTCTTTAAAATGTAAATGTAAATGATCTTCCTTTTTATAACACTCTCAGTGGCACTTCACCCTGTCCTCACCTTTGATTATTCCAAGCTTGCATTTTGTAACATTAGGTTGTTAAAGTATTTGAAACGCCAGTATTTTTCCCCCTCTCCCTCACCTTTTCCTTCCCTCTTCACTCTCACTACTCAATGAACAGACAAATAAGTGCACTTACTCACTATGTTCTCCCTTCTGTCATCAGAACACAGATCTGCCTTTGCTCACTACCTTGAATGTTTGGCTCATCTTTTACACTAATTTTTGAAGTATAATATTTACGTAATTCTTTAAAATCTAAATAGGTATCTCTCTGCAAACACATCTTACTTAATATATTTAGTGTATAATAGCAAGTGTATGTATTTAGTGTGTATAAAGTAAGGTGCCTTTGTGGAGAGGTATCTATTTGTTAAATGTCTATCTTTTCAGTATCTTTGATTTTCTGTAATTTCGAAATGATATGCCTAGATGTAATTTGTTATTTTGTTGTTTGGTTTTAGGGATTTTATTGTTTTTCTTCTTCTCTTTTTTGGTAGTTTTCCTGATTTCTTATCACCGAGCTTTCTGGATCTGGCTTTGATGTCTGACATTAATTTGGAGAAATTCTCAGCTGTTATTGCTTCAAATATCTCTTCTGTTCCTTTCTCTCTTTCTTTTCCTTTTGCTATTCTCATTATACATATAATACAATTTTGGTAGTTGTTCCAAAATTCTTGAATATTATGTGCATTTTTTTTGTTGTTGCTTTTTGGTTTTGGAAGTTTCCATTGTCATGTCTTCAAGCTCAGAGATTCTTTCCATATCCAGTCTCTGATTACCCCGTGAAAGACATTCTTCATTTGTTACAGTGTTTTGATCATTAACATTTATTTTCTGTTCTTTCTTAAAATTGCATCTCTTTTCTTACATTAATTATCTGTTCTTACTTGTTTACTTTTTCCACTAGAGCCCTCAGCATGTAAACCATAATTTTTAAAAATTGTTGGTTTGATAACTCCAACACTTCTGCCACCTGACTCTGATTCTGATACTTGCTCTGTCTCTTCAAACGGTGGGGTATTTTTGCTTTTTGGTATGCCTTGTAAGTTTCTATTTGTGAAAGTCAAACATAATGTACTGGATAAGAGGAACCTAGTAATACTGGTTTCTGCAGAGTTTTCTGCTTGTGGGTCTCTATTCTGGTGAGTTGTGATGCTCTGCATCCATCAGTCCGTCTCTCCAATTTTGGTCAGCAGTTTGCCCTATGGCCACAGTTATTTGAAAGATCAGACACAGTTGTTGATCTTTAATTTGTTCATCTTTTACTTGTTTTAAGACTAAGTTTGACTTTTGAATTTCCCATATGCTAGGCCAGAACCTGGAAGTAATAGCTTTCTGTGCGCCTATATTTTTAATATTAATGAATGTGTGTTTATATGTTTTTTATTTATAGAAAGCTGTATGTCACTCTAATTATTAACCCATTAATTTTATTATTTTTCAATTTTAATACATGTTTATTGTTTTTCTTACTGAATAGTTTGTATTTTGAGAGTGTTTATTAATTACATCTTTACCTCTTCAATGTTAGAAATTAACTTATTTGAGAGAGATAAATGTTTTGAGAACCAAATTAAAAATAAATGATAATTATATTAAAAGTGACTATTTTGATACAGGTTTGTTCAATTTAATTTGGTCATAGACATTTATGCTACTTTATTTATTTCATCTTTTTATATAGACAGACACTATTCAGTCAAGACAGACTAATTTCCTCAACTGTCAGTATCTTGAAATAGTTAAGATAGTTTTTGTTCACATATATTGCTGCTTGTCTGAAGTTTTCTGTGCATTTAGTTTTTACTTGGACTCACAGGGTGACAGAATCAAACATCTGGATATCACTGGTGAATCATGTATCAGTTTAGAAAACTTCTGTTTAGAATTGGCACACTTGAGAGTCACTCTTATTTTTTTGTCCAAGAAGTAACATGACCATACTTAAAAGAAGCAAGAAGGTATCAGCCCACCATGTGTTGGGGAAAAAAAAAAACACATCTTTATTTTTTCCAATTCTTAAAATTTATGTATTAGTGTTGTTATAAGGGATAAACAGTAATTTCTTTTTCTCACCCTTCACAAAGTTCATGTCTGAGACCCCTATAACAAAAGACAGATTAACAAGATAAAAACATAGCAAATTTATGTAACCAGAGTTTTATGAGGGCTTTCAGAAATAAAGGCCCCAAGACTCAGGGAAAGCTGTGTATTTTTTGGACCATTCTGCAGAAGTATGGTTGGAGGTTAAAAGGGTATGATCTAATGTTAGTGAACTGGGGGGGAACTTAGCAAAGCCTGTTTGACCAGATTCTTTTTGGATTCCCTGTTTGACATTTATTCCTTCTAGGTATTAGGCAGGACACCTGTCACATGAAGGTCTTCAGGGGAGAAGGGAGGGTGAAGCTCGGAGAGTGACATTTCTGCTTCTATGGTATTCTCAATTTCCTTCAGCTTAAAATAGTTGGTATACAGAGATGCAATATTTTGGGGTTATCATATTCTGAACTCGAACAGTGTATATCTCTTAAACTGGCTCTAACCACAAATTGCCTCTCCGCTATGCTGTTAAGAGTGAACATTGGAACACATATTTTCACACATTTGCAAACATTGCTTACTACTAACATTCATTTTCATATTTTTAATTTTTTTAGCTTTTCCTGTGATAATGGAAAATATTTATTAAGTCTTAAATTAATATTTGAATGTATAATTTTGGGTGTATTTTTCACCTCTCTGTATTTTAACCTAAATCTACAGAAATAGCAGTTGCAACAATCTGATTAAACAATTTTAAAACAATTGATTAGATATAGAGGTAATACAATATCTTGGAAAAGGACACTGCAAGAAAAGTCTAAAAAATTAAAATGAAGCATTGCATCTAATAATGGAAGACCCTTGGGCACTTATTTAATCTTTTAGCATTTCATATTATAATCTTTATAACAATGCAGTGGACTAAATCATATCTAGGATGCCCTACTTCTAAAATTCTGATTTATGAGAATTTGCAGTGAAGACATACTATATCATTGCAACTTGTTCCCACCTGCTTTGTTTATAAATTACCCAGACATTGAATTCTATTTCCAAATCTGCTGTCTAACTTTTAACTCTGCTTTGACTGATTAGGGAGATAAAACTAGAATCAATTAGCAAAATTGTGCTAATTTTATGGTCAGTAGTTGCAAGGAAAGCACAATGTCAGGGAATATTAACTCAATATATGTTACCTTTTAAAAATATTTACTGAGTAGGGGGATGAGCATTGAATAGTTATTTTAGGAATAGAGTTCAATAAGTACATTTTAAATAATTCCCACCAATTTTAAGTACCTTTAAGTTCTTTTTTCTACTAAGAATTAATTATGCTAAAGATGTGAATTAGATTTTCACGATATGGATAGGTACTTTTGTTTCAATAATTTTTCTTTGTCTAATAATTTAAGGAAACTTAACATTAATTTTATCATCAGGAGGTAGAGAAAATCTGGAAAAATATGTCTATTTTTTCATAAGTGATATAATAAGTTTAATCAGGCAAAAAAAGTGAGTTAGATCATTATCATTTACTTAAGAAGTTTGAGAAGCATATACCACAATTTAAAATATTTCTTACAAATTTCACATTATCAATGTCTACTTTTGAGTATGATTTTTATAATTAATTCCGGAGTCAATGTTTCATGTTATTTTGCTTTACAGTTATTCCATATCTTTACATTAGAGTTATACTTTAAATATTAAATGTGTTTATCAATATTTATAATCCTATGTATTTGGAAATTCTGTTTACCCTAGATAATTGTTCTCTCACATTCAATATATAAAAGTTAATTGGTTGTTCTTACAGAAGTCCTGTTAACTTATCTTCCTTTAATTTCATACCCTTCATATTTTATTACAGCAGAAGATCATTTCATTTTAACCAAAATTTAAATAGGACCTGGGATTATATGTTAAAATCATTGTAACTTAAAGTTTAACACAGTGTTTTAATTACTTTGCCTGTTTAGTTTGCAGAATTGTACGTGTAGTTGCTTTGCTTTTTAAAGTTACAAATTAAAATTCAAAATACACTTTAGATGATACTTTGATGAAGACTGAACTCTGGAAACAGATCATGCAGGAGATCTTCCATAACTTCTAGTCTGGAATAAATGACATTTCTTTTACTAAACTGTAGCTTTTTAGCCATTATATATGTATAATATATAATATTGTGTAACGTGTGACTTTCATAGTAACTTGAAGAGGCCTTCTAGTCTATTGTTATTGTCAAATTGTGTTACATAAAACATGATCAAGTTAGAATCTAAAAGGAAGGGCAGAGAAAGTAAAAGTTATAATAGGAATTTTGACATTTTCATTCTTCAGTATGTGTGTGTTAGAGGAGTCTGCTGATAAATTCTGAAAAAGAGTAGGCAAAGGAAGAATTTAAAAATGTGGACAATAAAATTCCAGAGTCAGAGGAGAAAACTGTGAAAAAAGAGGTGACTAGTGTAAGTGGAAATTAAAATATGATATGTACTTATTATTTAAAATGATTTAGGAGTAAAAAATGTTTAGACAAAGCAAGAAATATAATTATAAAACAGAAGTACATATATACTTTCTTGCTTAAAGTTATGTTAACTTTCCTGTTCTCTGTTACATGATAGCCTACAGGGATCTCAATTTTTTTCTTTTTCTTTCTTTTTTTATTTTTATTTTTTCTTTGAGGCAGGGTCTCACTCTGTTACCCAGGTTGAAGTGCAGTGACACAATCATGGCTCACTCTCACTGCAGCCTCAACCTCCCTGGGCTCAGGTGATCCTCCCATCTCAGCCTGCCGAGTACCTGGAACTACAGGTGTTCACCACCATGCCCGGCTAATTTTTTGTATTTTTTGTAGAGACAGGGTTTCACCATGTTGCACAGGCTGGTCTCAATCTCCCTAGCTCAAGCGATCTGCCTGTCTTGGCCTCCCAAAGTGCTGGGATTAATGGCATGAGCCGCTGAGCCTGGACTTAGTTTTTTTTATGCATGTATATTCTGCAGAACATCATGCTAGTCTGCTATGGTGGCACTATTAGGCTAATTGACTTGGTAGTCAGAAATCTCAAAGCTACTCTAGCTATTTTGGAAGAAGGGCAAGACATAAACTTTGAGCATTCAGAAATCTGTTACCTCGGCAAAACCTTAGGAATTTCATAATCTGACCCATGCTGGGACATCCTGTGTATGATTTAAAAAAATAAGTTGCTGAAACTTGCACCTTTAATAAAATGAGAGGTCTAGTGCTTGCTGAGTTATTTTGACTTGAAGTATTCATATACAGCTTTGAGTAATACTAATTCATGCCATTATTCATGAGGCTACTAATTTCTATTTAGACCCAGAGAGAGAAAGGCCTCCAGCAAATTAAGGCTGTAAAGTGTGTTGTAACCTACCATGAAGCTTTGGCTATATGATTCAGCAGATGGATTGGTAACAGACTATTCACGGTTGGTAAGAGATGCTGTGTGGGTCTCTGGGACCACCAGTTGGAGAGTTGTAGATTACTGGAATTCCAGAGCAAGGAGGGAACTCCTTGCTTTTGGAGAAAAAGTTCTTGATCAGCTACTTGGCCATAATAGAGGTTGAGCCCCAGGCCATGGGATTCTGAACAAATAGAAGAGCTGTGTATTGTTAAAACATTAGCCAGGCAAAGTAGAAATTCATCTTATAATATGCATGTGCAGGGGGTCAAAATATGCCACCTCAAAATACGCCACCTTGGCATAAAAATAATTTTGAACTAAAGATAAATCAGAAATAACAGATGCAGAAGGAAGCCTTGTTGGAGCTTCTTCTATTTGAATGAAAGCAGAAACCTCTGAAAAATTAGAACTATCAAAATTTCTACTCCAAAGAAAGCTTTATGGCAATGAAGGAAATAGAAAGTGAGCACGAAAGCAACCTGAATAAACAACACTTATCTTCCATTACTTTCCCCACATATGTAACATTTGCCTTCCTACCATTTGCCATCTTTGAAAGCATAAAACACTTTTCCTTTGTCTTGTAGCTTCTTTAAAAATGTATTGTTCTTTTGTTAAGATACTGTATAAACACAAGTTCTAATCAACCCTTTGAGTAACTCAGCATGGAGGTTCCTCCGGTGTAATGTGTACTGCACACATTAATAAACTGTTTTTCTCTTCTTAATTTGCCTTTTGTTAATCTGATTTACAAAGTACCAGCTGAAGAATCTAAGATGGGTAAGGTAAAAATATTTTTTCTCCATGACACCATTATATGCTTATGATCAGGCCAAAGCGTGTCCAGTAGGAACAAGTAAGCTACATAATTAAACAAGTAGTCTAACTCACGTGCTTACCTCTGTTGTATTGATGCTTCATTTGCACACATTTTCTCATGTGTGATTTCCCATGAAGGAAAAAAAAAAAAACAAAAGGAAAGGAAAAAAAAAATAAACAATGAGATTTACTTCTTGGTTTGTTTAATTATGATAGCCCCAAATCAAAAGCCACTGCAGTATAGCTCTAATCAGGGATAGTCTGATAGATGTCAGTTAGAGAAAATTTTCTTTCTGGACAGAGACTTGCAGTCAACTTGGTTCTATACTTTAACGCTCTGTCCTCAATGGCTAGAATACAAGGGTTTAGGAAATAGTGGGCGGTTGATATGGTTTGATTGTGTCCCCACAAAAATCAAAATCTCATCTTGAATTATAATTCCCCATATACCCATAATCCCCACATGTCAAGGCAGAGACTAGGTGGAGGTAATTGAATCATGAGGTGGTTCCCTTATCATACTGTTCTCATGGTAGTGAGTGAATTCTCACAAGATCTGATGGTTTTATAAGTGTGTGGTAGTTCCTTCTGCATTCATTCTCCTTCCTGCCGCCCTGTGAAGAAGTTACCTTGCTTCCCCTTCACCTTCTGCTATGATTGTAAGTTTCCTGAGGCCTCCGGAGCCATGCTTATCTGTGAGTTAATTAAACCTCTTTCCTTTATAAACTACCCAGTCTCAGGTAGTATCTTTATAGCCGTGTGAGAATGGACTGATACGGTGGTGATAGGAGTGACCCCCTCTCACCATCATTTCTTAACCCAGTTTCAAAAGGTCGGCTTCCTGTCGCCACAAGTTCAAATTCTGCTGGATTAGGGATCTTGATTTTCAGGAGTAATGACACTTCTTCTAGTGAGCTCAGAATTGTGTCTGCTAAACCTGAAACTATGATGATTATCTGATCACTTTGAGCTTCTTGTGCTGTTAATGAATAGGTAAAGAAAGGAATTACTATACTAGTCAGGATAACTAACCTTTATTTTCATAAGATGTCTTAGTATATATGCATGCAATACTAAGCAACAGATACCTCATCATAGTCTCTCCAATTATTTTTTGGTTATACAAGGTTTATACTTTAATAGGTTCCTCAAAAAGCATTCAAGAATTGTACTCCAGGGTTTTGTTTTTCTGCTTGTTTGCTCTAATATTCATTATTATTTGTGTGCTTTACACTTGAAGGTAAACTGAGCTGGGTATGATATGATTTGATATAATACCTTGGTTCTCTATTTTTCTTTCCTTGCATTACTTAAACATGTCCCTATCTTGTCTTCTGTTATGAAGTATTGCCTTTAATAATTTTAATACCAAACCTGATTTTCTCCTAATTAATGATTAATTCTGTTCTATTTTGGATGTCCGAGTAGATTTACATTTTTCAAATTTGTTATTCAATATTATTTTTCTTATTTATTAGAAAATGCCCCATTATTATTTTTGTGACTGTTTAAATTTTTCATTATTTTTTAAAATTTATTACTCAATATGATTTTTGTTGCTTATTAGAAAATGCCCCTGTTTTAATTTTGTGAATAATTCTTTATTCTCCAGTATGATTCTAGTTAAATAGTTCATATTACGTGTAGTCTTTTTTATTTCAAAAAAATTCCTTTACATTTATTTGTTTTTCTGTTTATCTGTTCATTTATCAATCTATCATCAATTTATCTTTTTTCATTGCTTTGGTTTACTTTTTTGGCATCTCCAATAATAGGTATGTTGAATCTCCTGTATCTGTTTTCTATATTTCCTTTTTCCATCAAATTTGTTTCCTATTTTAATTTCTGTTTAATTAATATGTTATTCAACTTTCTGTTCTCTAGTTTGGTTATCATAATTTTTGTGATGTTTACTGTAGTAGTATGTAGTTAAGACTTTGTTTCTGAGATTTTTTTTTCCTTGGATTCTCTCAATTATCTATTCATACTCTCTCATTGTTCAGTCACAACATTTTTAACTTTGGTATTTTCAGTTGCTGTTTTGTCATGACTTTTAACAGTTTTTAATAATGCCTTTTAGCTCATTTTATAATGTTAGCATGTAATCTCATCTGTTGTGTTATCATTTTTCTTTTTTTTATTTTTCAGTACATGTGATATTTAGTTTTGTATCTTTTATTAAATATTCTATATGGAGTTCAATCTAAACTTTATACATCTCCTGTGTAATAATGTTTTCATATACAGTCATGTACCACATTATGATGTTTCAGTCAATGCTGGACTGCATATATGATAGTGGTCCCTCAAGATGATAATAGAGTTCAAAAATTTCTATTGCTTAGTGATGCTGTAGCCTTCCTAACATCCTAGATAACACAATATTCGCTACTCATGTTTGTGGTGATGGTGTAAAGAAGTCTACTGCACTGCCAGTCATGTAAAAGCATTGGACATACAATTATGTATAGTACATATTACTTGAAAATGATATATGGTGTATGTATTCACTATACTGTACTTTGTATTGTTATTTTAAAGTGGACTCCTTCTACTTATTGAAAAAAATGTTAAGTATCAAACAGCCTCAGGCGGGTCCTTCTGGAGGTATTTCAGAAGTAGGCATTGTATTCCTAGGAGATGACAACTCCAGGTATATTTTTTTGCCCCTGAAGACCTTCCAGAGGGATAAAATGTAGAGGTGGAAGATAATGATATTGATGATCCTGAACCTGTGTAGGGCTAGGCTAATGTGTTTGTGTTTGTTTCTCGTTTTTAACAAAAAAAGAACAAAAAGGAAAAAAAATAGAAAAAATCTTATAGGATAACAGTATAAAGAAGGGAAATTATTTTGTACAGTTGTACAATATGTTTGTGCTTTAAGATTAGTGTCATTACAAGAGTAAAAAAACTATTAAAAATTAAAAGTTTAAAAAGTAAAAAAAGACACAGTAATCCAAGTTTATTGTATTTCTGAAGAAATAAGTTTTAGAAACTAATTTGGTGTAGCCTATGTGTACAGTATTTATAAAGTCCACAGTAGTGCACAGTAATGTCCTTGGCCTTCACATTCACTCACTAATCACTTACCCAGCACAACTTCTAGTCCTTCCTAAGAGCTCCATTCATGGAAAGCGCTTTATTGAGATGTACTATTTTTTATCTTTTACACTGTATTTTTACTATGCCTTTTTTATGTTTTGGTATGTTAGATACACAAATACTTACCATCGTGTTATAATTGCCTACAGCATTTAGTGCAGTAATATCCTGTACAGGTTTGTATCCTAAGAGCAATAGCCTATCTCTTAAGCCTAGGTGTGTTATATATGATGTTTTTGCTACAGTTAAATTGCATAAAAATGCATTTTTCAGAGCATATCCCTGTCTTTATGATACACGACTATATTATATTTTAGAGAAAGATTCTTGTGTCAGCGCAGTTTTTGTATCTTTACTTCTTGAGGGCGGTCTATATTTACTACAAAATGTTAGGAATATTAGGGCTCTAAATATAGCTGTTTCCATAGAGCTGAGATCAGACTTCTTTAGACCTCTTATTTCCAGATGCTAAAACTCATTTTCTCTATTCTCGGTGTTTCCAGCCTGCTTAATTTCAAAAACACTCTGGGCAGTTTTCCTCAAGTTAGTACTTCATCCACTTAGAACAGAGTACAATGCTAGAAGTCTCAGACCTGTGGCTGAGTGACACGGCATAGCTGTGTGTGGTTTCATCTATGCATTTTCTCATTATTTTATGGAACATAAATTATTATTTTTACATTAGATGTGTTCATTTGAATAACTGACAAAGCACAATTTATGTAGTTATATATTAAACAAATTTTTAAAATTTAGATATTAAGCAAAAATATTTTTCACTGTCATGTTTTTTACCAAGTAAAACAATTTGTTTTTTATTAATGTGCTAGTCTTGCAAGAAACTTATTGTTTGTAATTTGTCCTACCAACCATATTCAGGGTGCAGTAGAGATAGTTTATTACCTGGTTTTATTGAAGATTTCCTCATGATTTTTAATTTTCCCAACTATGCTTTACTAATTCATTTGTTTTCATAATGGAATCACTTTTAAATAACCATTACAATTTTGTCAGAAATTGAACTACTTAAAAATGTCTAAATAAATATTTTTTAAAGAAAAGTAACTTTGTTAGGTGTAATGATGTTTTATTCTGATGTGTAACCCTGATCATAAATTTAGAAACTTGAAAGCAAGAGATCTATAGTTCTACTTGTGACTTGTGAACCACTTTGTTTTGTTAAACTTGCTTTGAAGATAACGAGAAGACACTATGATTTCTATATGATAAAGTTAAAACTCCATCTTAGCCAGGAGAAACCAAGAGATTTAACAGAATGTCTAACATTGTTACACTTTTATACCCTTTCTGGAGTATGCAGTACTTTTGTATTTAATCAGCATAACATATGTAGTGTCCATTTTATTTGTTTTAGTCTATAAATGGTTTATTCAATTGTATAAAAATAAACATTTAAGTTCCTAAAGTGTACAATTAAATTAAGAATTCCATATTGAGTGATTTAGTTATATCTCACATAAATTAAACTTGTCTCTTGAAGTGTAAAAGATTTTTGAGTAACTTCTTGCTGCCACTCTCATGCTGGTCTGAGGTACACTCTCTTGTAAAATATATTCCCCAAACCTGGATGTCTCTTCCCTAATTGCTTTTAACTACAGCTGGTAGAAATTTGGAGTTCTGGAAAATCTTTACCGCAATAAAAGAGGAATATCAAAGTCTAAATAAACTAAGAAAATAACATTTATTTCCCAAGTTACAAGGTCTTTTCTGTCCTATTCTACTTTCACTAGATGACTGTGATAGCCAAATCTCCTTTGTTAAATTGTTAACCCAAGAATCTAAGACCTCTCCCTACACCCTGCTTTCCTAGACCTAGTTGCCCATATGAGGACAAATATATTTTCTAGGTGACTGATAGTTTTCAAAGAGACATCCAGCTCAAGGAGAAAACTCATCTGCTCACATGCAAGACTGGCATATTAAACTGCTTTCCAAAAACCTTACAATCATACCATATGCAATACTAACACATATCATAGAGCTTATTCCATTATAGGACTAGAGGTATCTGACTTAGTTCAGCATTTGTGGCTAAATTACAATTTTTATTTTATTTAGACTCATCTGTAGCTTTTATACACAAAACTCAATACAATGTGGTTTCCAAAAAGATAATTTTACTGATTTTATTGTACATGAATCACCCTGTGAACATTTTATTTATATTGGTCACAATGAATCTATTGGTATGCTGTGGAAAATCAGCTCAAATGTATTTTTGATGATAAATGGCCTATGACCCCAATTAGTCAATAAGCCATTTTAGTCTATTTTCATAATTATTAACACTTAATGAGAGCCTACAATGTTCCAGGCTTTATGCTAGGTACTTTACACACATTGTTAAATTTAATCCTTACAGTCTAAGATGAGCATTATGCCCAATTACACATGAAAAAAAAAGAATTGGAGGTTAGAAAAGTGAAGCAAGCTGTCTAAGGTCATGCATCTGGTAAAAATTAGGGGTGACTATGTCTATGCAGTTGGAATAAACAATGTTTCAATTTTGTTCCCCTGACTGGAAACTTTAAGCCCATGTAGAGTTAATAACCCCACTAGAATCCATTATGTGTTGATCAATAAAAGATTTATATTATTCTTTTAGATCTCTCTGCTTTAGCTAAATTTTACTCTTAAAATTTTTTTATTATCAGAATATTGCCACATCCAATAATTTCCTTGAATATAATGAGATTCTTATGGTGATAGTCAGCTTTCCTATTTATTTCTTAAACTTATCTGAGTTAAATGCAAATGTGCTTCCTTGAAGAAAAATGAATTTGATAAATATGTGTTGAAAATACTTGATATATAACTGATAATGTAATCTAAGACTTTTATAATTAAAACCTGAATATTTGTATTTATTTTAAAAAGGAAAAGAACATAATATATTAAAATGGTCCTTAAAACCATTTCAGATTATTAATGAAGGATTATAGAACAATTACTGAACAATTACTAGATTCTTTTAGTATACTAAACTTGGTATATATACAGATGCAATTTATTAATCATGTTAAGGTAAGATCACCACTCAACATTTATTGGTAGATTATGAGAGCTGTATAGAAGTAGGCTTCATGAAGAATATTCAATATGAATCAGTGGTGCCTTATAGCTCATTGTTTTATTCATTTATTAAATCATGTATTTATTTTTTTTTAATTTATCGATTCCACTAAGCTAATTGTAGGTATATTTTAGGAGCAGATGCGTTAATGATAAAAACTCTTCAAAAAGTACCTCCATACATAGTTCCATAGATTTATAAAAATGTAGTTATTTGGAAATGCTTAATATCTATTGCTAAATTATAGTGAGTTAGGTGCCCTAGGTCAGTGATGTCATATAATATATACAGGAACAATAGAAATGCTACAACATTATCTGGGGTTGACTCAACCCGAATTTGTATTAAATGTTGTATTCATACAAGCATACTTATTCAGCAATAGATTCCAGCACTGCATAAACTTGAAATGCTTAAGAGCATAAGTCTGTCCTTAAAGAACAATGTACTTCTACACATCCAGCCATAAGAGTAGTTGTTGAACCTCTTAGCATCCACAATAACAGAAGGATTTCTTTGTCAAGTTGTGCATTGTTCAATTTACAAATAGTATTAGATTGCAGTGCTAAGTGATTGATATATTTGTGCTTCTTGGCATTGTTAAAACACAGATCCAACATCGTAAGTTTAAGGGTTACCTTAAAAACGTTAGAGAAACAATAATATATTCATCAAGAAGTGCTGGTTTACACTCTAATCAGTAGACAACTCTTTGTTGATCTTAAATGAAGAGCCACTTGACTCTGACAAAATAGTCCTTAAAACTGAAAATCTAAGTGCAATGTAATACTTTCTTCAAA
The DNA here is from genome assembly GCF_000001405.40 of Homo sapiens. NCBI lineage: Eukaryota > Metazoa > Chordata > Mammalia > Primates > Hominidae > Homo > Homo sapiens. Next base: position 133,858,586 of record NC_000004.12, read on the forward strand.
TCATCTGAGAAATGACATAGAAATGGTTATTGTGAGTAAGGAGAAATATGACAGCCATTTAGTATTCTAAAGAACACTTTAAATCCTATCTGTGAATTTAGAGTAGGGAATAATAAATTGTATGTAACTTATCTAGTACAGACTAGGGCAAGCAACAAGGCCAATGGAACTGAGATTGAACATTTTCTTTTCATTTGTACCTGAATATGGGTGGAAGGATACTTATATGCCTTTTCTGCTAATTGCATGATTAAAACACTGCTAATGTATTATAGCCAATTTATATTTATATATTAATGTCTACATAAAAGCACTTGAAAAATTTAGGAGTACCCACATTCTAAAGGGGAAGACAAGATCTAAACATTCTTTTTAAAAATAACTATTTCATACCATCAAAGTTGATGTTATGTTTACTAAGTTATATAATAAAATTAGTAGTTATTAATAATGTAGAATAGTAGCAAAAACTTTGATATTGCAGTGAAACAAGCTTGGTTTTGAATCACAATTTTGGTATTTCTTATGTGCAATTGGCTCCATGTGACACATTTTTTATCTAGAAAAATAGAAAAATAGTTATAAGATCATAATTAACATTGTTATTTTACATAAAGTGTTTAGTAGATATTAATAGTAAAAAATGTTGACACAAAAATATCTTTGCCAAAAACCTCTTTAATAAGTATAGCTTCTTTCTTTTATGATTCAAAATAAAGAACAATTTTTTTGTAGTTTTGGACTTTAGTAAGGATGGAGTCTGTCAATATCAGTTCCTACTTTACTATTATGATTTTTTAAAATATTCAACCTCCATTCTATTGTAAAAAATGTTAATTTGCTTTCTTTCCAAAGAAAACATAGGCATTTGTATTTTATACTGGCTCATGTTGCTTTATAGAAAGAGTAATGACTTGTAGCTGAAAGGCATGGATTTAGAAGTACTCGCTATTTTTAGTTATGTGACAATGGACACATCATTTATTACTCTTTTAGACTCTTCATAGGAAATTCTGGGGAATAATATAAAATATATGTAAATGAATACACTTGGAGTTAGCATTTTGAACAAAAATTCTTCTTGCACTAAATCTGACTTTTTCATCTTAAAAATTATCAAGATCAACTGATACCAGGTAATGTGAACTATTTTGATTAGTTTCAGTCTTCATTCTAATGAATTCTTTAAAACGTCTCCCTAATTAAAATGAATTGTTCTTATGAAACATGTACCTCAAGCTTGTTCAATCCCCTGCATACGACCCAGGATGGCTTTGAATGCGGCCAACACAAATTTTGTAAACTTTCTTAAAACATGAGTTTTTTTGTGTGTGATTTTTTTCTTTTTTGTTTTGACGGAGTCTTGCTCTGTCATCATGCTGGAGTGCAGTAGCGCGATCTCAGCTCACTGCAATCCCCACTTCCTGGGTTCAAGTCATTCTCTTGCGTCAGCCTCCCAAGTAGCTGGGATTACAGGTGCGCACCACCACACCCAGCTAATTTTCGGATTTTTACTAGAGACGAGGTTTCACCATGTTGGCCAGGATGGTCTCATCTCCTGACCTCGTAATCTGCCCACCCCAGCCTCCCAAAGTGCTGGGATTACAGGCATGAGCCACCATGCCCAACCTTTGTGAATTTTTTTTAAACTCATCAGCTATTGTCAGTATTAGTATATTTTATGTGTGGGCAAGACAATTCTTCTGCTTCCAATGTGGCCCAGGGAAGCCAAAAGATTGGACACCCTAATATACCTTTTCATCCTTACATACAAATTAGCATTGTTTCTCTCTAAAACATATTTTACCATTAGTCGTTCTGAAGTAATATACAGATATTTTTCAAGTATAAATAATGTATTACCCTAATCACATTTGAAGAGTCTTTGCCTTTATATCATACTAGTATATACACTAGCAGTATTTTATATGAATAGTTTACACTAATTGATATTATTTAGTGTCTCTGACAAGTAGTAGTTTATTTTTGCACAGGAATTATTTCAGTCCACAATTTATATAAAATTTAGTTTCTTCAAAATTAGTTATTAAGAGAAAAAATTACTGTGAATTACCACATGACAGTAGGTACTAACACAACTTTTTTTGTTTAAACCACAGTTTTTGTTCTAAATATGTTTCTGTTTACTAATACATTATTTACAAAATGCCATTCATAGAGAAATCTCCCGATTCAATAAGACAAGTAGTAACACAGTAAATTGATTACTGTATTAAAATACAGTAATTTTAGGAGCAGATGAATTAGTGATAAAAATTCTTCAAAAAATACCTCCATACACAGTTCTACAGATGTATAAAAATGTAGTTATTTGGAGATGCTTAATATCTATTGCTAAATTATAGTGAGTTAGATGCCCTAGGTCAGAGATGTCCTATAATATACACAGCAACAATAGAAATGCTACAACATTATCTGGGGTTGACTCAACCCGAATTTGTATTAAATGTTGTATTCACATAAGCATACTTATTCAGCAATTGATTCCAGCACTGCATAAACTGGAAATGATTAAGAGCATAAGTCTGTCCTTAAAGGACAATGTACTTCTACACATCTAGCCATAAGAGTAGTTGTTGAACCTCTTAAAGTCCACAACAACAGAAGGATTTCTTTGTCACGTTGTGCATTGTTCAATTTATAAGTAGTATTACATTGGAGTGCTAAGTGAAATGAACAATGCCTGATGCTTCCTTTTAGAAATGTGTATATATTAATCTCAAAGTATAATAGCTGTAAATGAAATGTATGGTAGGTTATCAAGAGCCCAGCACGTCTTTTTGAAGGGCACTCTATTTTCATATGACAAATTTGAATCCCCTCCCTAGATTTTTAGTTAAAAGATACAGGGGAATGTTGTTCTTCAGTATTGCAATATAAAGGTACTCAAACTACACATAAGTAAGATGCCCTTTTTGATGCACTTTGAAGCATAGTTTTCACTTCCATAATTCTCTACTGTTTCTTACACTGAATTCTGCTTTGTTAGTTATTTTAATACTTTTTCTGTACAATTCAATTTAGTCTGACAGTGTTAAATCTATTATTTGCAAATCTAAATACACAAAACTGTTTAAAATAAGAAGTTTATTTGTAACCCACTTGGCAGCAAAATATAACACAATTTACATAGGCTACGTTACTCTTTGTTGGAATGGACATTCATATGTTTTACTGATAAATAATAATATGAAGCTGCCCAGATTCAAGTGGTGATATTTTCTAATATATAAGGTGTGAAATTCTGAAACACTTATTTGCAACATGTTCTCTATACTTTATATGTTTAATTTAATAATTTGAGGACTTACTACAGTTTCTGACTTCTTACATACTATTGCCAAAATAGTTATGTTTGGTGGATTTTTCCATTGTAATATAATTAGATTAAATAAAACACACACAAACACACAAAAAATAAAATCTGTGACCATATGTTCTTCACTTTATTTAGTGAATTATCTGGGCTGCCATTTTAAGCCAGGAATTATTCTTTCATTCATTTCAACGAAGCACAAATATTTAAATATACCAGCAGTTCTGCAATGTTTGATACAGTTACTTATACAGAAAAATATGTTCTAAGTTCCTAGTTACTAATTATCCATTTATTAAAGCAATCAGGAAGCAATTCATGAATATTATATGATATATTGCTAAATTGCAATGATATATTGCAATATTATATGATATATTACAATGAAGTTCTAAAAACTACTGGGCAAAGAATATGCATTATTCAATATATTTTGATATCACCAGTAAATGTGTAATAAAATGGAACTGACTTACCCTTCTGACATAAAAGGTAGTTTTATGAGATGTCATCTAGGTAGTATATTGCGGTACACTCAAAATTCATGAACTGTTTCACATCCATATTGATATCAGAAGGATATGACAGCACAACACATGGGATATAAAATTCTTCATAAAACATTACAGCATGATGAGGAAGGGTTTAGGCTGTTTCCTCACTTCATTTAGAGTAATTAGAATATTTAGCTTTTATTTAAAGACACAGATGCTCTTAATGTATAATATTTAAATGTTTACTTTTCTTCTAAACTGTATATTGTCTTTGTCTCAAATGTTAAGTGTTAAGGCAAGGCTTTCCAAACAGCATGAAGGAGTTTCAATTATAGAAGTTGTGAATTGTTAATGAGTCATATGAAAAGCAAAGATCAGAAATGGTTCAGGAATATAGGTAATTTTTGTCGGGATATAGCACTTTAAAAGTATTTTTCAGGAAGTTAAGACTAGCAAACGTATCCACACACAATTTAATTTTAAAGGAAAAATGTGAATATACATTTTTGACACTGCTTTGCAAAGCAAAAAGCAAACCATAAGAAAACAAAACATAGTTTTGTATTTGAAAAAATAATGGAGCTTTCTGATTCCATAAAATAAGCACTTTCTGAAAGTGTACATGCAAATGGGTTTACATGTCTTAAATTTCTGTCACAAATAAAGTTTTATATTACTTATTTTAGAAACAAATGTTTAGATAATAGTGCCAATGAATTAACATTGACATGCTTGACAAAACAGAAAGTTCTAAAGCAAAGGATGGCTGCAGTGTTTTGCTCCTGAAAGTGAAATAGAGTAACTACTGCCATTGCACCTACATTCTGAGACTCCTTCTACATTCCTGTTTCTCTAGTAATGGTTGGCTGATGCATTACTACCCACTGGGGCAATACCGATAATGCTGTTGCTGCAATTGCTGCTGCAACGGCATCAAAAGACTTCCTTAGGCTATTATACCAGGTATAAAAGAGAGATACAAGTTCAGTCTGAACCCCTAAAGAGCCCTCTCTAATGTCTTGTCAGCCGCAATCTCTCTGAAAGCTTATGTTCATCAGGTCCAGCCTACAGCAAATAGGAAATCCCAATAGGTAGTCTGTTCAGGAGAATAGGAAAATCAGTAGAATTAGATCATTTCATGGCAATTCAACCAATGAATGAGTCAATTTTCCCATTTTTATCTATTTTTTAAACATTTTATTTGGCTAATATAGGCATAGCATCTGAAAATTCTTTGAAAAGTCAGTGCTCTGCCACTCATTTTTTTTTTTTTTGTATTGAGCTTACAAATTATTCTTTTAATAGAACAGGACTTCTGAAGACAAGGGAAAGAAATTTCAATCAGTGAAACTGAATATGTGAAGCTGAATATGTATTGTATACTTTAGTGCAAATGAATATAAATTCCATTTGGGCTACCTATGTTTTCTATAATTAAAAAATTATTTTGTTACTATATTATAAACTATATTGCCTACTATTGATATATACTTACCTACATTGACATGTGACACACATTGACCATAAAATCCATTGACAAACTATTTTGTCTGAATCCATTTAAGTTCTAAAGAGGCATACTTTGTAAGAAAAATATGATGGGAATGTGCATGATAACAAATGTTTTATTTATATTTTAATATATTTTTATCTCTCAGATTTTAGTAACCCAAAATAATATTATTAGTAATATACTGATTATTGTTAGAATAATAAAATTATTTTGGGTCACAAATATATAGGATAAATCTATTTAAGTGTGAATAATATATTTATTAACATGCTACTTGATAATTATATTTTGGAAACTCTTTTTGATTTCTAAACTTAGGAGGTAGACATATTCGCTAAGTAGTAGAGAATAATATCACCAGTGTTTGTATCTTCTAAATATTTCTTTATTGCTTAGAATTTGTAACAACAAGTATAGTGACTTCTAATCTTTAACAATTTTCATGACGTTTTTAATCTGTGAAGGTCATACTTTTCTAAGCAGGCATATGAGAGAGGGGTCGCTTGAAACTCTTAAGAGTCCAAGGAGAAACTGATGGTGACTTACCAGAAAAACTGCCTTCATTGGAATGGCTTATATTGTGGATAAAAGTACTAGCTTTCCCTGCTCATTTATGGACTGTTTCTCAGTTCTAAATTTTATAAGTAATTAGAAAAGCGTATCTGGATATTTGAAATATTATGACGCAAATCCATATGTATATGATATTAAATAAATTCAAATGTATATATCATTACTTAAAACTCTTTTTTACCATATGTAATTTTCAAATCCTTTCACTGTTTTTTAATTTCTTTTCTCCCTAATAAATATGTGTATTAATTTATGTGTATGAATTTACAAGTGTTTTATTTGACATTATATAGACTGAGATTGCATGTAGAATTTGTCTGATTAATTAGTGATTTGAGTAAAAATATGTGTTACAGTTGCATAATACAGGTATGTAACATTGGTGATTGCCTTGCCTTTTTAAAAGATTAGACTACATGTTATTGAAAAAAAAAACTTCAAATAGATCTAGTAGCATGTTAAATAGTAAAATATGTAGATTCACAAATATGACCATTTCTCCATGAATAGAGAATGCGGATTATTTTATATTAGTGCTCTGAGTCAGCCATATATAAACTACCATTTCTAAAATTGTTATAAATGATGGAAATTCTAAGGTACTTAGGTAGGTTAGAATACATTATATTTATATGGTGTTGAATTAATAGTTGGGTGAAAATTTAAAGTTTTCAATTCTTCCCTAAATAATAACTTTTGACAGTATGATGAGAAAATATTGATGATTGCTGAATTTATTAAATTAAAATAGTTCACTGTAATTTACTCAATAATTAAATGATTATAATTTTTAAAAAATAGATTGGTCGTTTACTAAATGTAAGTATAGAATTGCCAAGTCTCACTTTTGATCCAAAACTAAACATAATACATTTGATGTGATTTTGTACTTTTTCACTGGCAACTACAATATGCTTCAATTCAAAACTGAATTACAGGGCATTGTAGAAGCATTATTTTATGCTCATTAAGTCTCAGGAATATTTTAGGAGAATTAAAACCTATCAACCTTTTAGTGTATTTTTTTCTTTCTCAGTTTATAAAATAATCTGTGAACATACCCACACATATAGTGTGTATCAATAAGAAATAGAGTTCAATGGTTTTCCAAGAAACATAAAAACAAAGTAGTCTTAATGTTTTTTTTCATTAAAATTTGAATACAAATTTTACAAACACAAATCCAAAATCATTTCCACAGACCCTGTGGTCTGGTGTCAACATTTGTATCATAGGCTACATGTGGAGAATTCCTAGGTTGGGTAGTAGTGACCACACTCTAATACCTTTATCAAGTGAGTCATTGGCTGTGGCCTGATTAAGAAGTGCGTGACCTTAGAAAGCTGAGTCAGAGCCTGAGGATGCTAACAGCTGGAGACTGTTAGCTAACTGCACTTCTTTCATTTGAACAGCAATTTCTCTATTGAGGAGAGATTTGAGTGGCTTGCTTCCATGGCTGCTATAATCTTTATTTTTGCATCATGGATCCACTTCTCCATTAATACTCAGAGAATATCCTTTTTAGGGATCCAAGGGGTCTCTCTTCCTGAGGAAAAACTTAAAAGAGGATATAGTAAAACAAACTGTTGCTCATCCATGGTGGGAAATGAAACAAGGGGAAGTTCATGCTTTCTCTAGTGTAGCCTCTTGGTTATATGATCACAGAAAGTGGTTAGAGGCTTGACTTTTATTTCCATTTTGGCTTGTGACTTTAATTGGCTACTTCAACACCTGGAAGTTTAGCCCTCTCTCTAGCTCACCTGAGCTTCTGAAAACCTGGCTCAGCAAAAGGGTAATCAATTAAGCAGAATGCCATTATGAAGAGCCAAAAGCTGAAAGATGCTGCAGGGCACGTTTGAGAGGTGCTATTGTAGCCTCTCTTACATTCTAAAGGAGTGTGCCAGTGGATGATTTACAAGAGTCTGAGGGCCCTGCTGAGTACTTCAACAATAAGTGTCGGGAAGTGCTAGTGGAGCCAGTGAGGCAGTTGGCCAGCCATGCCAGTTGGTCTTGGGAAGTGCTAGCAGGAGTGCAGCATGCTTGGAGGATGCCAACAGGTTGTTTATATGTGGTTTTTGGTTCCAAGAGGGGGGTCTTTGGTTGTCTTTTGTTCTTGAATCCTGGCTAAACTCCCTTAGTGAGTCAGGTTAGAGATCCAATGGAGAGATTTGAAAAAACAAAACTAGACAATCAGTTTCCTAACTGCTCCCTAGCTGCTCCTAGTGGCTATAACCACTGTTTGTCGGCTTCCAGCAATAGGATCAGAAATGGAGTTGGGACTCGTGGGAGCTGAGGTACTCTAAGCAGGTCCCCAATACTGATAAAAACTCTGCTACACAGTAAGTTGTTGAAACCTCAGAAGAAAAACAGAAGAGTCTAGAGCCTTCAAGATTACTTTGCCTAGTGGCCCCAAGAAACTTTAGAGATTTGGTTAGTACTTCTCCAGAAGTAATCTTACCTAAGCTAATAAGAGAGAGTGGCATGATGTAGGGCACATTACTATAAACTCCCCCCCAAAGTGCCCTGAGAAACCCCTGTCAACAACCCAAAACACAAACGGCAACAGTGATAGCAGCAGTTACTCACGCTAGCTCCCCACCTTCTCTTCACTACCCCAGAAAACTTGTGGACAAATCCTGACAAAGATTTCACTCCCCTAGTTCTCCCTGTGGGCCTGGAGGTGAGTCAAAGATCTCTGTCATTCTTTGTCCAGACCTCTCGACTTTCTGAAATAAACTCAACCGGGGGTTAAACCATATCTCCCTGTTCCCAGGAAGGACTAGAGACCTTATGCCAAGATTAGAGTTCACTGTGGAAATAAAAGAAAATTACATCTCTTGGGCCTTTTAGATAATTGTGCACAGGTGACTCTGATGCACCAACATGAAGGAAAGTTAATGCTCTCTTGCTTGGGGGTTGAAGCTACCAACCTTGGGACCTTTGCCCAAGTGTAACTGTGGATGAGTCCTTCTGGGGCCTACAAAACTACTGTTACAGCCCCCCCACTGCTGAGTATGTCATTGGTATTGATGTAATTTCTATAGACACCCCTACTGTTTACCCTTACATTTTTTTTACTTGGTAACTGTAAACAAATAGACAGCTTATATTTAAGATCATTAGTGCTATAAACTCTAAAGACAAATAATGACAATTAAATTTCAAATTTGAAGGCAGGATTCTTTAGGGTTGATAGTACTTCAATGTAACTATCCACGATATGTGCACACAGTGTCCAATTCTTCATTGAATCAACAAATATTTTTGAGTGCCTGTAATGTTTCAAATTCTACTGCCAACTCAGTTTCGCCTGGCATACATATTAATTTCTAAAATAAACATTATGAGAAGTAGTTCCAAATCAATAATTAAATAAAATTTGAAAGACGTTGACATGGTTTGGCTCTGTGTCCCAACCCAAATCGCACCTTGAATCCCCATGTGTAAAGGACGGGACCAGGTGGAGATAATTGAATTATGGGCGCTGTTTTCCCCAGGCTTGTCTCATGATAGTGAGTGAGTTCTCATGAGAGCTGACAGTTTTATAAGGGGTCTCCTCCTTTACTTGGCTTTCATTCTGTCTCCTGCCACCCTGTAAAGTGGTGACTTCTGCCATGATTGTAAGTTTCTTGAGGCCTCTCCAACTATGCACTACTGTGAGTCAATTAAACCTCTTTTCTTTATAAATTACCCAGTCTCAGGCATTTCTTCATAGCAGCGAGAGAACAGACTAATACAGATGTTGTAAGGGATCATTAGAGACAACAAGATGAGAGCCTAATCTGGTTGGTTACTATTTAATGTATTCATAATATCAAGTGAGGACAAGTAGACACGATTCTCTTTGATAGATATTATGGATAAAGTAGTGAACAGATCTATTACATTCCTGCTCCATTAAGCTTATCATATGAAACTAATTATGTAATCAGAAAAAATATATGCTACAGCTGCTAAGGGCTTCACATGATGTTGTGAGCATAAAATAGAAGATGTCTACAAAAATAAGGAGCACAAGGATGTCAGTGAGGAAATGATGGGAAACCAGAGATCTAAACGAAGTACAAATGTGTTCTCAGTAAAAATAAAAGTCTACAAAGAAGGGTAAGTCTCAGGAAATGACTGGCAGCAGAAGGTAACATTAGTCGTTTGAATAATTAGACAAGCCAGGGATATTAAAGTGAGTATGAGAAGAATAAAAGGCTGCTGGAATGAAGTAGGGCTCCATTACACAGGTCTGTTTAGTTCATGTTGTGGATTTTGGTTTTCCTTCTTAGAACAGTGTGAAATCATTAACATACTTTACACCAGAATTGTGGGGTTTGGTTTTGTATGTTGAAAGTTCTGCATTGGTTATCCTATAGAAAACAGATTGGAGAAGAGGCAGAATTAATGTGTGGATGTGGTGGGGAGGGAGGTTAAATAGGAATTCAAGTCTCAGTCTCAGAGAAGAGAGCTCCATCCAGCCTGCAGATGCAAACATTTAAGCCTTCTGCGGTATTGATGGTAATTAAAGCAGGTGCAAGATAAAAGTTGGCTATGGACATGTAATCCTAGCTCTTTGGGAGGCCAAAGTGGGTGGATCATTTGAGGCCAGTGGTTCGTGATCAGCCTGGGCAACATGGCTAAATCCTGTCTCTACTAAAAATACTCCCCCCAAAACATTAGCTGGACGTGGCAGTGCATGCCTGTAGTCCCAGCTACTTAGGAAGTTGAGGCATAAAAATCTCTTGAACCCGGGAGGCAGAAGTTGCAGTGAGCCCATATCGTGCTACTACACTCCAGCCTGGGTGACAGAGGGAGACTATGTCTCAAAAAACAAAACAAAAACAAAAAAACAAAAAAATTTTGAGAAAGTGTAGAAAAAGGATAAATAAAAGTAAGACTAAACCTTGAAGAACAAATGCTGTGTGCATGTGTGTGTGTGTGTGTGTGTGTGAATGTGTTTTAACAGTGTATGTGTATGTGTGAGGATGTGATTCAAAAAGTACCCATAAAAGTAATTCAAGAAAAGATTAAAAAAAATTAAATTTTGCAATTTATGTTCAAAAAATAAACTTTGTTCTATAAGCTGGAATATTTTTTCCCAACAATAACTAATATGGGGTTGCTGAACAGCAACAACATAAACATTTGAAACTATGCAGCCTTTGACCTCTGAAACAAAGTGCAAGATAACAGAGAATGTGTTGGAAAAGATTTTTAACCACTGGTATTGCTCGGAAACACAAATCAGGCAGCAAATCAGGCAGTCACGATCTCTATGGGGAAGACGAGCTTTGTGATGAGGCCAAAGTTATTGCCAGTCACTCTTCCATTACTGAACAATCTCCAATTTTACCTTACTTTTTAAATTAATGTTAACCAGGTGTGGTGGCTCATGCCTGTAATCTCAGCACTTTGGGAGGCTGAGGTGGGCAGATCACCTGTGGTCAGGAGTTCAAGACCAGCCTGTCAAACATGGTGAAACCCTATCTCTACTAAAAATACAAATATTAGCCAGGCGTGGTGGTGGGCACCTGTAATCCCAGCTACTCAGGAGTCTGAGGCAGGAGAATCTCTTGAATCTGGGAGGCGGAGGTTGCAGTAAGCCGAGATCATGCCACTGCACTCCAGCCTGGGCGACAGAGTGAGACTTCGTCTCAAAAATATAATAAAAATAATACCAGAAAAAGCCTGCAGTGTAAGAAAATGTGGTCATCAAAAAATAATAGTAATTTCATAGGTAAATATAAGCAAGCACTTACCATATAAAATGGTAAAAATAATAAATCATTGGGTTAAAAAGAGAGAAAACAAATATAATAAAATATTACATAAGTCAATAGGGGGGGTAAGCAGAATTATTATTCACCCAGTAATAGGGTGAATAATTTCTAAGTGAGCAGATAATGCAAGTGAATTTAGTGAAAAACTAAAAAATAAACCAAAAGAAAGGCAAAGATTTGTGAAAAATGAACAGGAAGCTTGGAAACACTAGCATGTATGTTAAATTAATAAAATCATGGTTTTTAAAAGTCATATTAATTTGGAAATTAAAAAAGCTAAGTGACACATCAAAAATATCATTAAAATTTGAAATTTTTTTAAAAATTGAACAATTATAAAACATTACATATTTCATTGAGATGGCTGAAACCAAAGTAGTAATTAGAAAATTTTAGCCTTAAAAAGAGGTGGAGCTAATACTTAAATGTACCACTTAAGATGTTTTAAAAAGTATCGAAAATTTTTCAAAAGGAAACTAATAAATATTATAATAGAAATTAATTTGAATATAGAAATATTCTAGAGAAACCACCAAAAGCAACATCTTTTTTAAATAGGCTAGTAGAATTCATAAACAGCTTGCAAAATCAATCAAAAAATAAGAAAAGACACAAATAAACAATATTAGTTGGGAAACGAAAAAATTCTAGAATAAGTAACTTGTGAAAACCTACTAAAGAGAAATTTGAAAAAAAAAAAAGCTTTTATTGTTCTATGATCGTTAAAAACAAACAGTAGTTAAAAATTTTCCCAGGTTTAAAAGGAAAGATTGAGAAGATTTTTTATAACTTCTCAAGAAACAGATTAGTTTTCACTAAAAATTTCTCAAGATAATTAAAAATAAAATAAATTCTCAAGAGAATTAAAAATAAAAAAGTGCGTTTCCATAATACTTACAAGGTAGTATAAATTTAATTGCAAGACAAGATAAAGATATTAATATAAAGAAAGAAAAAATTATAGTCCAGTCTGTCTTACAAACAAGAATGTAAAATCTGTAATAAAAATGTTATCAAACTAAATCCATCAGTGTATATTCAAATATAATACCTCATGGTCAAGAATGGGTATCCTGGGGCAATGTAAGCAATGTTTTCAATCAGGAAGTGATTTAGAAAAATCTTGTGTCATGGAAGACTTCACTCCAGCTGAAGGCTTTGCAGAATGCTGAGGAAGTAGGTGTTGAGGAAAGGAAGAGCTAATGTTTCCATTTCCAGGGTACAGGCACAGCTCACTTGAGGCAGGACTGCAGTGAAGGAAGAACTCAATGTCCTTTTTCATGTGTTACCGAAGCTAGGAATAGAGCCTTTGGTCACATTCTGGCCAGGCCTTCACCCTTGTTTGGCTTCACCAGGCTCCTAGTGCTACACCTATTCCAAAATATTCTCTTTTATTAAATTGACACATAATATTTGTACATATTTATTGAGTACATTGAATTTCCCATGCATATAATGTGTAGTGATCAGTTCAGGGTAATTAGCATACCTATCATCTCAAACATTTATCATTTTTTTGTGTTGGGAACATTCAATATCCTCCTTCTAGCTACTTGAAAGTCTACTAGTGTTAACTACAGTCATCCTAACAGTGGTATAGAACACTAGAACTTATTCCTCCTATCTAGCTTTAATTGTATATTCTTTAACAAATCTCTCCCTGTCCTTTTCTTCCATTACCCTGTGCAAATAAGACCAAGCCAGTAACTTTATTTACAACACTGCATATTATATTGGAATAACAGGTTTGTGAGGCTATAGTGTGCACCACATTAAAACAGCAAGGAAGAGCTATTTATATAGAAAGGTTGGAATGAGGGATTTTCACTAGAGCAAATTAACTTCTTGTCAACTGCCAAAATAAAACAAAACAAAACTGAGCATATGAATGTTAGTATACTGAAGGCATGTTATACCAGTTTCTGTGCAGCATGCTAAAAGTTAGAACTTCTTCACTGGTGCATATCAATCATCAATAGTCATGTTTTATCCCCTTCTTGACAAATTTCAGGCATGTCTTATTTTAGATGGAGTATAGCTTTAGATCCTGAAAAGGTAACTGTTTAGTATGTCATGTAAACATGGTTTAATGGACATTAATTTCTTGCAATATATACATTATGAAACAACTTATTTGACAATATTACTCTATGAATATACTATGATGAAATGTGCTGTAAAATGTAACATCATTTCCAATAATCTGTGGAAATAAACTGTTAGGGCTGCCTAAAATTTAATTTCCCAAATTCCAAACAAATGATGTGTTAATTTCAAACAAATAATCTACTTACATAAAGGGTAACTTTCTGAATATGTACCTAAAATTAAACTGTATAAAACTATTTATTAAAGGTAAAAACTTGAATTCAAAATAGTGTTAAAATTTTATGTAGAAAGTTACTCATCTTATTTTGCTATATATACCTATAGTTTCTTTATTAAACAACTATCAGCTCAACGTAGGTCTCTGTATACTTACGAATTTTTGGTTAGTTAGATCTACCATGACTAGATGAACAAAGTTTGAATAATGGAAATATCATTTAAAAATAGGCTCTCTTTTTTAGAGCAATGTGCATATATATGTATATTACACGTATATTACATATATTACATACATATGTATATTACACGTATATTACATATATTACATACATATGTATATCACACGTATATTACACATATATTACATACATATGTATATTACATGTATATTACACATATATTACATATGTATATTACATGTATATTACATATGTATATTACATGTATAGTACATATATTACATATGCATATTACATGTATAGTACATACATATGTATATTACATGTATATTACATATATTACATACATATGTATATTACATACATATGTATATTACATGTATATTACACACATATGTATATTACATGTATATTACATACGTATATTACATGTATATTACATACGTATATTACACGTATATTACATACATATGTATATTACATACATATGTATATTACATGTATATTACATACACATTACATATATATGTATCCATATTGCTTCACTGAACTCTGTTACCACAGAAAAAATTATCAGGTATGCAGTAATGTTTTGCACATAACTTCTAAGAAATAAGATAAGAGGTTTTTAATGTCATTGAATCCTTCTATATAAGCATAACTTTTAATAAGGTATTTAAAACAGCTTTAAGAAAACACTTATATAACCATTAGTTTTAACTACACCTATTTTCCCTGATTTTAACTTCAGATATCAAAAATCATTTTCCACAACAAAATCATGTCATTATCATTTTAGTTATACATAGTAAAAATATTTATTTAAATTTGCATTCAGAATAAAATGATAAAATATTTTTCATCCAAAACCAGATTTTGTAAGATTGTAAGAAAAAGACAGATACAGATAAACAGTAAAACTGCTAAAGGAACTATGCTTCAAGCAGACAGAGCAGTGATCTCAATGGCGGCTATCCATGAATTTTAAAGGAAGTGAACAAGAGAACCAGTGAACCTTTAACTGACATTTTTTAAAGTTCACTAGACTTGGGAGAGATTCTAGAGGATTTGAAAGCAGTAAACATGACTATGTTATTTCAAAAGGGTCAAGACAGAAGCAAAAATATATATATTATGAGAGCAGCAAGTTGAGAAAAGTCTTACTAAAGCTGCATGCTGAAAGAATACTAGTAAAAGAGAATTCTTTTAATATAAAATGTTCACTATAAATATGCTCATTAAAGTGCTTAAAGAATATAAACATATCATAAGAAAATATATATTTAAATTTAAACTCAAAGTTGATATTGAAATGAACCTTGAATGGTCATAAGCATTGAAGAAAAAGAACATAAAATGTTGTAGTATTTGAATTGTTTTGACAGGGTAAAGAGAAGAAGAAAAAGAACATTCCCTAAATTTAGAAAACATTGCTTTAGTATAGCATCTAAACTAGGGATAACTAAATTGCAATGTACAAAACTGCACTTAAATGATTTCAATAAAGGAGGATGATCCATCATAGGATCACTTAATAACTATTTGAGTCTATTTCCCTCTCTCTCTCTCTCTCTCTCTCACGCACACACACACAAACACACACACACACACAGAGACACACACAATCTTTCATCCTTTAAAGCTTTTAGTTCTTACTCTCTCATAATAGCAAAGTGGGTTTTGTTATCTCTAGTTCAGGTCTGACCTTGACTCAAAATGAACTTAGATCCAGGAACTGTCACTGTCTATCCAACCACATGCCTTTAATTCCAATTACAAAGAGGATCAGTAGGTTTGGGTTGGCTAATGTACCCACCCCTGAGTCAGTAAGATATACTGAAAAAATCTGGGTCATATGATCTCCTAGAATAATAACTTAATGAGAGCATGCAGTGGTACACTTCCAATGAAAGGATGGTATAGGCAATCTATATCTTTTAAGTCATCAATTATGAAGGTTTTGCTTGAGGCTTTGAGACTTTCTTCAACACAAGATGATGGTAATAAATGATAAGGCTATAAGTAATATACATTGTATGTTAGTGAGAGGGCAAGTATATGTTTATATCTATGTCTAAGTGTAAAGTATATGTCTATGCCTATGTCTAAGTGTATGTGTATGTATACGACTATGTCTATGTCCATGTCTATGTCCTATACATAGCAAAATAATTGCTACAGTTACTACTGAAACGTGTTACTACAGGATGGCTAAGGGTTGCTTTTTAACCTTTAATTTCAGGGGTACATATACAGGTGTGTTATATGTAGGTAAACTATGTCACAGAGCTTTGTTTTTACAGATTATTTCATCACCCAAGTACTAAGCCTAGTACCCAAGAGTAATTTATTTTTCTGTTTCTCTACCTCGTCCCAGTCTCCACCTCAAGTAACCCCCAGTGTCTGTTGTTCTTCTCTTTGTGTCTGTGTGTTCTCATCATTTAGCTCCCACTAATAAGTGAGAACATGCAATATTTGGTTCTCTGTCCTTGCATTAGTTTGCTAAGCAGGATGACCTTTGGCTCTACCCACATTGTGCAAAGGATATGATATTGTTCCTTTTTATGGCTGCATAGTATTCCATAGTGTATATGTGTCACATTTTCTTTAACCACTTTACCATTGACGGGCATTTAGGTTGATTCTATATCTTTGCTATTGTGAACAGTGCTGCAATGAACATACACATGCATGTATCATTGTCATTATGGTAGGATGACTTATATTCCTTTAGATATACACCCAGTAATGGGATTGTTGGGTTGAATGGTAGTTCTCTTTTTAGTTCTTTGAGGAATCGCCACACTGCTTTCCACAATGACTGCGCTAATTTACATCCCACCGTCAATGTATAAGTATTCATTTTTCTCCACTATCTAGCCAGCATGTGTTGCTTTTTGACTTTTTAGTAATAGTCATTCTGACTGGTGGGAGATGGTCTCTCATTGCGGTTTTCATTTGCATTTTTCTAATAATCCGTGATATTGAACTTTTTTTCTGTGTTTGCTGCATATATATATATATATATACATTCTTTTGAAGTGTCTGTTTATGTTCTTTGCCAGCTTTGTAACTTTTTTTTTTTTTTGCAAATTTGTTTAAGTTCCTTATAGATGCTGGATATTAGACCTTTGTCAGAGGCATAGTTTGCAAATATCTTCTCCCATTCTGTAGGTTGTCTGTTCACTCTGATGATAGTTTCTTTTGCTGTGCAGAAGCTCTTAAGAATAATTAGATCCCATTTGTCAATTTTTGCTTTTGTTGTAATTGCTTTTGGGGTCCTTGTCATAAAATCGTTGCCAGTTCCTATGTCCAGAATAGCATTGTATAGGTTGTCTTCCAGAGTCTTCATAGTGTTGGGTTTTACATGTAAGTATTTTATCCATCTTGAATTGATTTTTGTGTATGGTATAAGGAAGAGGTCCAGTTTCACTCTTCTGCATATGACTAGTGAGTTATCCCACCACCATTTATTGAATAGGGACTCTTCTCCATCGCTTGTTTTTGTCAGCTTTGTCTAAGATCAGATGGTTGTATGTATGATCTTATTTCTGGGGGTTCTATTCCATTCCATTGACCTATGTGCCTGTTTTTGTACCAGAACCATTCTGTTTTGGTTACTGTAGTCTTGTGGTATAGTTTGAAGTCAGGTAGCATGATGCCTCTTTGTTCTTTTTGGTTTGGATTGCCTTGGCTATTCAGGATCTTTTGTGGTTCCATATGAATTTTAATATTGTTTTTTCCTAGTTCTGTGAAGAATGTTATTGGTAGTTTAATAGGAATAGCAGTGAATCTATAAATTGCTTTGGACTGTATGGTCATTTTAATGATATTGATTCTTCGTATTCACGAGCAGAGAACGTTTTTCCACTTGTGTCATCTCTGAGTTCTTTGAGTAGTGTTTTGTAATTCTTATCGTAGAACTCTTTCACCTCCCTGGTTAGCTGTATTACTAGGTATTTTATTATTTTAGGGCAATTGTGAATGGGATTGCATTCCTGATTTGTTTCTTGGCTTGGCTGTTGTTGGTACATATGAATTCTAGTGAATTTTGTACATCGATTTTGTATCCTGAGACTTTGCCAAAGTTGTTTATCAGATCAAGGAGCTTTTGGGCTGAGACTATGAGGTTTTCTAGATATAGAATCATGTTGTCAACAAAGAGGGATAGTTTCACCTTCTCTCTTCCTATTTGTATGCCCTTTATCTTTTTCTCTTGTCTGATTGCTCTGGCCAGGACTTCCAATATTATATTAAATAGGAGTGGTGAGATCTGGTATCTTTGCCTTTTGCCAGTTTTCCAGGGAAAGGCTTCCATCTTTTGCCTATTCAGTGCGATGTTGGCAGTGGGTTTGTCATAGATGGCTCTTATTATTTTGAAGCATGTTCTTTCAATATCTAGCTTATTGAGAGTCTTCCATGAGGTGGGTGCTCTGTGCTGGGGGTTCAGACAATCCTCTTGTCCTGTGGACTTATCAGGGCCTGGAGACAGCAAGAAAGAGGGTTGCAAGACAGCAATGATACCAACCCACCCCTTCCACTGGGAGCTCTGTCACAGGGAGTTGCAGAGCTGCTACTGGCCCAATAGTCCTTGTGGTGGGTGGCTGGTGACCCAGGCTGGGAGGACCTGCTCAGTGAGAAGATATGGGATTGGTGATCCATGTAACAAACAGTCCGGCCACTTTTTCATAGGACTCCTGCATTATACTGGGGGTCCACTCCGGTGCCTATTGACCTTGGATTTTTCAGTACCAGAAAGTATCAACGGTGAAGTCTGCAAAACAGCAAAAATGGAGGCCTGTACCTCCCTCTAGGAGATTCATTTCAGGGAGGTATGAACCTGTTGCCAGCCCAGACACAATGGAGGGTGAGTGGGGGGCAGTCGAGAGGTCCTGCCCAGTGAGTAAAAATGGGATTGGGGACCTGCGTAAAAAAGCAGTCTGGCGCTTTTATATAGAGCAGCTGTGCTGTGTTGGGGGATCCACTCTAGCCCCTAGTCACCTTGGACTCTTCAAAGTCCAAGGGCAACTATGGCTGAGCCTGTGAAACAACAGAGGTGGTGGCCCGTGTCTTTCTTTGGAAGCTCTGTCTCAGAAAAGTTTGGAAATGCTGCTAGCTGGAAAACACTGGTGGGGATGGTTGTAGACTCCGGTCCGTGAGATCCTGCCAAGTGAAGAGAAACAGGATTTGGGACCCACATGACAAAGCAGTCTGGCCACCTCTTCACAGAGCTGCTGCCCTGTGCCAAGTGACTGCCCCAGTCTCTAGTCACCTTGGATTCCCCAGAGCCCAAAGACATTAATGGCTAAGGCTGTGAAACAGCAAAGATGGCAGCCCGTCTTTCCCTATGAGAGCTCTGTCTCAGGGAGGTGTAACAGTGCTACCCGTGGCTGGCTGGAGTTCCAAGCCAGTGGGTCTTATCCTGTGAGGTGCCTTGGAAGTGGTGGCTTGGAAGTGGTGCCTGCAGACCATTGCTGTTCAGCCCCTTTCCTAAGGGTATGGAAAGGGGTCTGACCTCCCACTTTGCCAGAGTTTAGCCGCTTTTGCCAGGAAGCTGGTATCTAAAGCTCTCAGGGCTCCACGTGTGCCTGAGCAGCTACTCTGCTGGGACTCCCTGCAGCTCTGCATCTCAGATTGAAGGACCACGTGCAGTGGGTTCATGAGGTTATCTCCTGACTCAAGGGTTGCGAAGATCCATGGGAAACGTGTGGGTATCTGAGGTCTCTCACTCACTCACCCATCACTTCCCTGGGCAGGGGAGGCTTCCCAGGCTCCATGTCACTCTCAGCTGGGCAGTTGTCCTGCCTTCCTTTTCTCCATTCTCCATAGGTAAAGTTGTTTTCTTGATGAATCCCAATGCATGTACCTGGGTGTTTCAGTTAAAGGTGCTCTGGTTACTTGACCCTTGTATTTCTCTCTATGAGAGCGGCACACGCTAGCTGCTTCTAGTTAGCCATCTTGTCCCAAAGGTGGCGAAGAGTTCTTATTACTACTGGATGTCCAAGGGTTTGATCTCTTATAAGTCATATAAGACTATTATATTTACGATTTTACATTTTTTAATGATCGAAAGTCAATTTATAAAAAAAGTCTATGTATACCAGAGATGTTCTTAGGCTATCTTGTCATTTGCTTGTTAAACTATATTCAGTGTCCTTATATTATATTCATTTATACATTTAAGATATACATCTATATGCTACATTTATGTATTGAAATGCATACACACACCCAATATGTAATAAATCCACCTCCTTGTGGTAGGACTTTCTCCACTACCCACAACCCAAGCCACACCATTACTCGCCTGGATCATTCCAGCAGCCTCCCTGATGACTTTGTTTTACTCTCAACAAAATAGCCAGAAAGAGACTTAAAAGTTTGGTTATAGTGTATCACTCCTCTGTTCAATCTTGTCCATTTCACTTATAGTAAGTCTAATTTATTTTAAAAGCTAAAAGGTCCTCTTTCCCCATTTTTATTCTTTCTTTTTCTAATCACATCTCCTACTACTTTTCCTCTTTCTTAGGTGGTTCCAGAAATAGTGGCTTCCTGGTAGTTCCTCAAACACTACAGTTACTCACCAGCCTTATCCCCCTTTCACTGGCTGATTCCTTTTCTTTGTACAGAAGTCCCCCTTATCCGCAGGAGACGTGTTCCACGGCCCCCAGTGGATACCAGAAACCACAGATAGTACCAGACTCTCTATATACTGTTTTTCCTGAACATACATACCTATGGTAATGTTTAATTTATAAACTGGACACAATAAGAAATTAATGATAATATCTAATAATTAAGTTACTATTAGTAAAGTATTATTAGGTAAAATAAGCATTACTTGAGCACATGCACTGTAATACTGTGACAGTAAAGACAGTCAATCCAAGGTAACTACTAACAGGTGGGTAGCACCTACAGCAAGGCATGCTGAACACAGGGTTGATTCAAATCCTGGGTGGGACACAGTGAAACAGGATAACATTTTATCATGCTACTCAGAACAGCATGCAATTTAAAATTTATGAATTATTTATCTCTGAGATTTTCCATTTAATATTTTCAGAACCTGGTTGACCACAGATAACTGATACTGTGGAAAGCAAAATCATGGATCAGGTAGAACTACTGTAGACCATTCCTGCAGTTGATTATCCCTGCCTTGCTTTCAGTCTTTGTTCAAATGATACCTTCTCAATGAAGCTTACCTAAGCACCCTATTTAAATACACCCTGCTATTCCCGTCCCATTTACCTTGCTTCACTTTTACTGCTTCTCATAGCATTTACCTCCTTTAGCATATTATATAACTTATTAAGTTCACTTTTATTGTCTACATTACATGGTAATGTGTAAGTTCCACAAAAGTAGGAATCTTTTTCCTCCTTTGTTCACTGATGTATCCCAGGTATCTAGATATATTCTTGATACATAAAAGTAATCGATAAAGATTTATTGAATTAATACATCAAGTGTGTGTTTCAATTTATTTTCTTTTACATATTGGGAATAATGGTACTTCTCATA
Source organism: Homo sapiens (assembly GCF_000001405.40). Lineage (NCBI taxonomy): Eukaryota > Metazoa > Chordata > Mammalia > Primates > Hominidae > Homo > Homo sapiens. The sequence continues at coordinate 133,880,305 of NC_000004.12, forward strand.
AATGATTTGCTTTTAACTCAGGAACCATGTAAACATAAAAAATAACTTTGTAAGATTAGTACATTTGTCTAGAAATATCCTAATTTTTTATTATAGTTTAAGTTTTACAGTACATGTGCACAAAATATCCTAATTTTATAGGCCATAATATTGGATATATAGTTTTCAACTCTAGTAAGTGCATAGGATTTTTCTTATTAAATATCACTTAATTGTCTCCGATTCAATTTTTTATTTGTTATTTGTCTTTTTTTAATTATGCTTTAAGTTTTAGGGTACATGTGCACAAAATATCCTAATTTTATAGACCATAAAATTGGATAGTTTTCAACTCTAGTAAGTGCATAGGATTTTTCTTATTAAATATGACTTAATTGTCTCCAATTCAATTTTTTATTTGCTATTTGTCTTGCTTCCTTTTTATGTTATTTATATATTTAATTATTATTTACAACTCTTGGCAACCTTAAGCCCTTTTAAGCTAATTCAGGAGAGAAAATACATAAAATAGATCTCCTTGAGATCTTATATTTGCTTTTGGGGTTCACTTTCCTTTGTTCATAGATTTCATCCGAATTTTGTATATGTTTGTGGTTTTAGCCATTATAACAATGATGAGAAAATAAATTCTTTAGTAGGAAGATTAAAAAGGAAAATGAAGAAATATATTATGAAGACAATTATTTGATCTAAATTTTCAACTATAAGCTGCATACACATGGGAAAAAATATAAATAAAACTACAAAGCTAAATGTGTTAGAGAAGAGTGAGTGAGAAAAATGTTATCATAGGTTTGGCCACCAGTATTTTAAAATAATAGTAATAATAAAAGGCAGAAGATATGTGCACAAGGTAACCATAGGGCTCAAAAATGCACTGGAAAGAAATGAGTTTACAATTTTCACAAAGAAAGTTATTTATAAGGTTCTGAATTTATGAAGAAGTGGAAAAATGAAATTCATCCTTAGCATGCAAAATTATTCAAAGGATAGGAGCCTATCATGGGGAATAATCTGTCTTCTGATTTTCTGCCAATTATAAATTTGAAAATGGTAACATTAAAAATCTCTGATGAAAAACATGGAAAAGAAAAAAAGATCTGATATTTTCTTAAACTGCAGCTTTTTATTTTTAATAGCATTATTTATATTTAAATTTCAAAATTTCTACATTTATGAGGTAAAGTTTAATATTTTTATTGTATGTTCACAGAGTTGATGAACCATCAACACAATTGAATTTTAGAATATTTTTATACTAGCCACCAAAAGAAGCCTCAAACCCAATAGTAGTAATCACCACACATCTACCATGCCCTATGCCACCACTAAGCTATTTTCTGTCTCAATACATTTGCCTATCATGGGCATTTCATGCAAATGAAGCCATACAATATGTGGTTATTTATGTTTGGCTTCTTTCACTGTGCAGAAAGCTTTCAAGGTTCATCCATATGTTGGCATATGTCAGGACTTCATGTCTTTCCACAGCCAAATGATATTTCATCATATAGGTATGCCACATTTTGTTTATCTATTCATCAGTTGATGAACATTTGAGTTATTTCTACTTTTTTTGCAATTAGAGATAATGATACTACGAACATTCATGTACAAGATTTTATGTGGACCTGTGTTTTCCTTCCTCTTAGATATATAGGTAGACATGAAATTGCTGGGTCATATGTACATATGTTAAAATTGTGAGGAAATGCCAAATTGTTTTCCAAAGTGGCTTGTGATTTCACGTTCCCAGAAACAATGCATGTGGGCTTCCATTTCTCCACATTCTAACCAACTTTATTATTTGGTTTATGATTATGGCAATCATAGTGGATGTAAAGTAGTACCTTATTGTGGTTTTGATTTGCATTTCCCTCATGACTAATATTGTTGAACATCTTTTTACATACTTTTTGTCCATTTGTAGATTTTTTTTGAAAAATATCTATTCAAATTCTTTGCCCATTTTTAAATAATTGAGCTACATATCTACTTATTATTGAGTAGTTTAAGTTCTTTATGTGTTCTGTGTACTGGGTCCCTACCAGATACACGATTTACAAATATTTCTCTTATTGTGTTGGTTATCTTTCTTGCTTTTTTGATAATATCATTTATGACACAAAATTTTTTATTAGGATGTAAGCCAATGGATCTATTTTATTTTTGCCACTTTTTGCTTTTGGTATTATATCTAAGAAACCATTGCTTTACACAAGATCACGATGATCTACTCTATGTTTTCTTCTGAAAGTTTTATAATGTTAGCTCTTACCTTTAGGTCTATGATCCATTTAGAGTTAATTTTTTGTATCTGTGTGGTAGGGGTCCACCATTATTCTTTGGCATGTGGATCTACAGTTGTCCAGAGCAATATTTATTGAAAATACTATTCTTGCCCCCATTAAATTGTTTTAGTACCATGCTAAATATCAATGGATTGTAAGTGCGTTGCTTTATTTCTGGACTCTGGATTCTTTTCTTTTCATCTATGTGTCTATTCTTGTGCAAGTACCACACTGTCTTGAGTTCTTCAGGATTGTAGTAAGTTTTGTAATGAGAAAGTATGAGTCCTCCATATTGTTTTGGCTAATCTTGTGCCTTGTAGTTCCATATGAATTTTAGAATCACATAATCATTTTTTTTTTAAAAAGGCAGCTGAGATTTTGAAAAAGATTGTTTTGAATATGTAAGTTAATTGGGGCAACATTGCAATTTTAACAGCAGCAAGACTCCCGATCAATGGATTTGAGATGTTTCTATTCATTTAAAACCTTAACTCCTATCAGTAGTGTTTTATACTTTTCTCTATGCAGCTCTCGCATCTCTGTGTATTTATTCTTTTACTATGCTCTTCTAAATAGAGTGTTTTCTTAATTTCTTTTCTGGTGATTTTTGTATCCTGCAAACTTAGAGAACTTATTCATTAGTTTTAGTAGTTTTTAGTGGGTCTCTTACAATTTTATTGATATAATATTGTATCATCTGTAAAAAGATACAGTTTTACTTCTGCCTTCCAAATAGGAATGATGTTTATGTCTTCTTCTTGACTAACTTCCCAAGTTAGGACGTTCAGTACAATGGTGAATAGAAGAGGCCAGAGTTCAGCTTATTTTCCCCCTATCTTATCTTAAAGTCTTTCACCATTATTTACAATATTATCTGTAGGTTTCTGAAGATGCTGTTTTTCAGGTTGAAAAAGTTCACTCCCATTGCTTGATGGTTAAACATTTCTATAATGAAAGGTGATGAATTCTGTCAAATTTTTTCCTGCATCTAAAGAAATAATCATAGAGTTTTTACCATTTATTCTGTTAAAGTGGTATATTATATCAATTGATTTTTATATGTTAAATCAACTTATATTTCTGGGATAAATTTTACTTGGTCATGGGGTATAATTCTCTTTATATTGCTGGGATTGGCTTGCTAGTTTTGTCTTTGTTTTGAGAATTTTTATATCCATGTTCATTGCAGATACTGATCTATACTTTTCTTTCATGTGGTAGTTTTGTCTGGTTTTATTACCAGGATAATACTGACTTCACAGAATGACTTGAGGATTATAGAAGGGTTTGTGAAGAACTTGTAGTAATTCTTTGAACGTTTGATATCACTAGTGATGGAATCTGAACCTGAGCTTTCCTTTGTGTAAAGTTTTTTCTTTTAATTACTACCTTAAGCTCTTTCTATATTATAGGTTTATTCAAATTGTCAATTTATGTTTTACTCACTTTTAATAATTTGTGAATTCCTAGAAATTTTTAAATTTCATATAGGTTGCCTAATTTGTTAGCAAGCAGTTGTTTATACAATTTTCTTTCAGTCCTTATTTCTGAAAATTTGATATAGATATTACCTCTTTTATTTCTGTCTTTAGTAATTTGAGTCTTCTCTCTTTTTTTCTTTGTCAATATACCTAATTGTTCATCAGTATTGTTGGTCTTTCAAAAAACCACTTTTGTTTCATTGATTATCTCCGTAAGTTGTCTATGTTGCATTTTTCTTTATTCTGCTCCTCTAATCTTTATTATTTCCTTCCTTCTGCTTGCTTTGGGTTTAGTTTGCTCTTCTAGTACTTATTTCTTAATGTGGAAAGTTAAGTTATTGATGTGAGATATTATTTATTTTACACAGGCATTTGCAGCAATAAATTTCCTGCTGAGCACCATTTTACCTGAATTTCATGTTTTGGTATTCATTTTCATTCATTTCAAACTATTCTATTATTTATCTTGAGGTTTCTTCTTTGAAGCACAGATTCTTCATGAATGTGTTCATTTCCATATGTTTATAAATTTCCAAATTTATTTATTTAGAAATCAGTAATAGAAACAAAGTTGTTTATATGTTTATAAATTTCCAAAATTTCTGAATTTATGAATATACAAACAAATTTGTTTCTATTACTGATTTCTAATTTAATTCCATTTTGGTTGAGGAGCATAGTTTTTATGATTTGAAAGGAGTAAATACATTAAATTAGTTAAGATAAATCTGAATACAATATATCCAGAAAACACAAAATGATAGCTGGAAATCTCAGTATAAAAAACACATGGTAAACATTTAGAAAATAAAAACAAAGTACCCCACTATATCATTCAGAGAGATTTGCTTTTTTAAAATAATGTTATAACTTTCTCCTTTTTAACAGTTGCTTTATTTGTGAAGAGAATTTCTAGAAAACAATGTCATAGGGTAGAAAATATGGGTAAGATGTCACTATATGAAAGTTTATATCTAGTAGAAAAATTCTGAACTAATTGATTACTAGTATCAAGTCAATTCAGAAAAATCTTTTACAGAAATTTATCCTTGGCACCAGCTTGACAATGTTGTACAAGGAAAACGTAATTAATAATCATTAAGTCCTTGTTTAGATGGATATTTTTAAGAAGGAAGACACAACCCAGTTTCAAACTGAATTTAATATAATAGAATGAATATAAAGAAAATAACAAGATGAAAGTTTAACAAGCATTTGAATTCAAAGCATCAATTTTTCCATTAATAATAGTCATTTCAGGAAAGCTCAGTGGATATTCACTTAATATTGACAAAGCTTAACAGAAATAAAACAATATGAAAATTAATTATATACCACTCCAATACTAAGCATACACAGTTCACTAAATCCTTACGTTTGTGCCTGTTTGTCCCTAGCTAGTACCCTGCTTCCCTGATCTTTCCAATAGAATTTCCCAGTTGAGTTTCTGTTTGTTTTCTCTAATTCTTTACCTCCCTGTTTCCTATTCTATTCACTCTGAAAGTGCTTTCATCCTCAACACTTCACAAACATGGTCATTTTTAATTTTTAATTTTTATTGATACATAATAGTAGTATATATCAAAATACATGTAATGCTTTAATAAAAACATACAATATATAATGATCAAATCTGAGTAATTGGGATATCATCCATCACCTCACACATTTGCCATTTCTTTGTGTTGGGAACATTCCAAGTCTACTTTATTATTCTGCCATAAAAAAATAATAAGACCTTGTCATTTGCAGCAACATGGATGGAACTGGAAGTTATTATTTTCAGTGAAATAAGCCAGGCACAGAATGACAAACATTTCATGTTCTTACTCACTTGTATGTGGGCGCTACAAGTTATATAAAATATAATGGGGGTAGTTACTAGAATGGCAGTTACCGGAGGCTGGGAAGGGTCATAGGAATTGCAGGGATAGAGAGGTGTTGGTTAATGGGTACAAAATACAGTTAGATAAGAGGAATAAGATCCAGTGTTCAGGAGCAAATAGGATGACTATAGTTAACAATAATTTATTGTATATTTCAAAATAGCATGACTTTTTATCAAGGTTGGCCAGATACCATCTTCCAACAACTAAAAGTGAATTTATGTTTTTGTAACTTGTTATTTTTCTTGGCTTTTGTGATATCAAATTTATGAATTTCTTACTACTCTATGGGCCATTTTTTCTCAAAATCTTTTGTTGGTTTTTGCTTCTCTGCTTAAGTTATTGATTAGGCTCTTCCTCTGGCTCATCTTCAGTATCATGTTTATTTCAAGATATTATATATTTATTCACTCATTGAAAAAATGTTTGTTGAGCAACTGCTTTATGTCATTTGCTATTCTGTAATTTGTAAATTCAAATTTAAGTAGAATTATTTTACCTAATGGTTCACACAGGATGAACAAGACCAGGATTTCTCAAAAAAACAGGAATATTATGATAATCATAATTGAGTTGGGGGAAGGTATAATGGAACACAATATTTACAGGAAGTAGGTCATGTAAGAGGAAATGTGCCAACTAGAACTGATGAAAACAGGTTTTACAGGTGAGATTGAAAGTAAGCATTAAAAATAAATAGAATTACATTATGTGACAAGAGAGAAAACACACAAACATGATATGAAAATGGTAAATAATTTAAATTACTAGAATTTACAACTGTAGTGAGAAACAAGATAATAGAAGTAAGGAAATGCCACTACGTTATAAAAGGGCTTTTATAATACGCTGAAATGTTAATTTTTTATTCAAAAAGCAATGAGTTGCCATTGACGATCTGTAGAGAGGTGGTGACTGGCATAATGAGATTTGTATTTTTAAAATGCTTTTGTTATTCATATTAATATTTTTCTCACATTAATATAGTAAGTATTTGGGGTGAGGGAAACAAGTAACATAGTTACAAGTTCTGCAACATTCTATTTGAAATGTTACTGAGGCCTTAAATAAGATATGGGCAATTAGGCTGAAAAGGAAGGGTTGGACACAAAATATAAATAAGATTTATGGAATTAATAAGACACAGGAATAAATTAAATGTAGAGAGGAAAGAGCACAGGTACCACTCATGTTTCTGGTGTGAGTGACCAGGTGAAAGTGCAAGTTGCTACAATAATAAACACTGAGGAAGTAGAATGCTCTGTGTTTGGCCAGCCTAGGAGGCCCATTCTGGGATACCATCAATCCGGTGTGTTTGTTTTTTTCTTTCCCGAACAATATCCACTGTCATTTTTAAGCAGAGAACAAATGAGATTATTGGAAAGTTATAGAGTAGCTTAGAAAACAAATGAGGTCTACAGAACTAGATAAAGAAAACTGTCAAAAGCAGTGGAAGGTTAGGTAGAGAATTCACACAAGGTCATGACATACAGGAACAGCATCAGTAGGGTACCACTGTGGCATGACTCCTGCTGGCCTCTTGACACTGTCACAACCTCCTGCACCATTAATTTTTTTTTAATTTTTTACCAGAATTTCCTTGTTATTTCCTATGGATTCAAATCTCAGAGGGAAGCTAAGTAACTCGCCAGACTGCAATCATGTGTTTTCTCTTGGCCGCCTGGCATCAGGGAGAGGGTTCTTGGTTTTTTTTCTAGAAGACAAAGTCCTGCCTGCCATGCAGGAAAACGTCGAGGGTGTTCCACTCAAACCACAGGTGTTTTTAGATGTTAGTTGGCTAAAAAATAAAATAATAAACAAAGTGATAAATGTCATCTACATGAGTAAATGAGGTGAGAAATCTCCATAGGAGATTCCACCTACACAGTTGCCTGTGTGAGTTTGGGACACCAATATTGATTTAAGTTTTCTACTCATCAGATGGAGCTGGAGCTGGCACGGGTATTCGCTAAAGCTATAGCAACAGCTTTGATTATCCAAGTAATAAATCTAGATTGGGCAGAGGAAAGATTCCAGACTGTTAGGACGATTAGTAATGCTTAAACACAGAGAAAACCTGGTAGCCCACAAAGCAGAATTAATAGAAATAGTCCGTAAAGCAGGAAAAGAGTTGTTTTCAACAAAACACAAAACTCAGAGTTTCAGGAGGAGAGATTAGACAACTGTGTTAAATGCTTCTGCAGTGGAATAACACAGCAGTTGGTAACAGAAGCTAATGCAGGGAAGGTCCCTAATGACCGTTAATTCAGTGAAAGCTTGAATAGAAGCAAATAATTATTGGGTTAAAAGGATAGTAGAAAATGATTAATCAAGGACAATATGCATGGAAAATAATTTATTGTTTTACTGCAATATTGTCCTTTTACTGGGAAAGAAAGGAAAGCAGAATAGTGGATAGGAAGAAAAAGGATTTGTGGTATTTTTACTTCTTTGAATATTTATTTCGAGCAACATTAATGTGATAATAGGCTCATCAGATGGGGGTTGAAGATCTAGGCATTGAAGTCATGTGTGAGAGGAAATTTTGGAAGAAAAATTCTAGAATTAACACTTTATAATGAAATATTTTAATTATCAAGCTATCTTGTTATCCCTTTTTGGTATCCTTCAACTTAAAATATTTCCAAAGGAAAAAAAAAAAAAAGAAAGGGAACAATATAAGAGAAAAGAAGACACTTAAAAAAAATCCTTACAGAGGAGCACAGACAAAAGCCATAATGTATTCTGCATTGCTACCTATATTTTTTTTTCTGGAAAGGAGAAGTACTTTTCTTCATACAAGCCAAATATTTTGTAATAATACCTTTAGCTAAAGAATCCACTGATGACTTCACAGGCAGAATTTTCTATATAAAGCATAGGTAATTAGTGCCTCAGATTATGTATGAGCATCTGATGGCCCAGTTAGTCCTTCAGAGAAGCTAGTTTTATTGTTGCATTGTTTCTTCTGCATTATTTCCAATTTTAATGTGGCCTCACTATTTAGAGAACTCACTTTATACTTTAATGACTCCACCTGAAAATTGAGGAACTTTAGAATCTAATTTGTATATATCTTCATACTCACACACAGGATAGCTAAAATAACATCAATATAGACGACGTCTGACAAAATCTCATTGACTAAACTTTAGTCAAGTTCCTCTAGGCCCTCTTCTCAATGAGACACTGTCCTTGCTAGACATGCATAGCCTAGCAAGACTGCTGTTTAGTCAGTTTAGCCAGACTTATGCCCAACGCTTGATAACCAACCACCATCCTCCACCATCCACCCAGATGGTATCTGGTCAACCTGGCCTGCCTTGAGAAAGAATCCTGTTTGATCAGCCTATAGGAATCCTCTAGCCTTGATGTTTCCTCTTAGTAATTTCCCTTCCACTGACATTCCCAACACTGCTCCTTGGCTATACACCCCTACTTTACCTTGTATTTGGAACTGGTCTCAGTTCTATACTGAGCTCTCCTTTCTCCCATTTTAATATGTTGAGAAAGGCAGTATCACATGTACTGTCTTTTGACTCCTACTAGGCAACATAAGAATGGGCCTTGGGCCTGGCACACTTCCTTACCAAGAGGTACCACGCCCACACCACCTGTGTGGGCTTATCACCTATGTAAGAATATCTTTTCCTGTTTGACACTCAGTGTCTTTGTTCTGCTTAAGTGTGCATATCATTGGTCGTCAGGCATGCCTCAGCTTTCAGTATTTCAGAGTCATGGGATTGGGTCCTATTGCAGCAAGAGAGGGCTGCTGTTTACAGCCCAATCCCTGTGTAGGCTGAGAGTGGGGTGGGGATAAAGACTTAGTGGCCCACTAGCCCTTGGGGTGCAGAGGATATAAATGCACATTATTGCACCGATCTTGCTCTGTCTCTTCGACGTTAAATAAGAGTATTATTCCATCCAGTTCTTGACTGTGTTGTGTTTTCCTTGGTGACTCCGATGCCAAGTTATAAAGGGCAAAGGCATTTGGACTTTCTTTCTTTTGGTTGGCACAGTGATGACCTTTGTTATCTTCCTCTGATGTTGGTAGCCAGAGCACCGTTTTCTGCTCCATAAAATAGTTCCTAAATTAAATCTGTTTTTCCCACTTCAAGTACTGCCCTGCTCTGTTTTTTTTTTTTAAACACTTCCTTCAGTTCTAACAACATTTTAAAGTGAGTCTTATTCGTGCGTCTATATAAATGCTCATACATGTTTATTATATTGCAACAAAATAATTTTGAATATAATTGAACTTTTACCAGCTTTCATTTAATAATAATTATATTATTCAATAGTTTTCCATTCAGGTATTCTATAGATTTACTTCAAAATTAATCATCTCTCTCCCTGCTCTTTTTATTTGCAGTGATCACTACTCCTTTAATTGTTATATATATGCTCAATTTGACCTTCAGTATTTCTTCCTTTCAAAAGATTTTGTTAAAAGGTCTTGCTTACATTTAATAAAATTATAGTCCTTTGGAGCCATCATTTATTATCAGATTAAAGGAAAACTGTTTTATACTATTTACATTTTCTAATAATAAAGGAATTTATATATAAAGTACTTTTAGAATACTTCTTAAATTGCCATGATAATTACAGTGACATTCTCCTCTGTACATTTTAAATAATATAATCATTCTTCTTTACATATCACAGTTTGAAATGCCTTAAATATTCATATTTATTTGAAATATAATTCAGAGAAATGCATTGGTATGTTTGCCTTCTTGTTGAGTGTGCTTTATTACCAAGTGTTAGCCAAATATCTCACATAATAGCTAAAATTGTAAGTGATCTACAGTACTTACCCTCATTGTCAAATTTGCCCTTCTCTGTTATAAGTTTAATAGAAATTAAATAAGCAAATAAATTAAAATGATTGTTACTTATTCATGTAAGTTACTTTATAACAGTTATGTTGGCATAGACAATCAAGAATTTACATATTCTTTGGGCTTTTTAATTTGTTTTTTTACTCTGGAAAAACACCCAGGTTGATCTCCTATAAATTCACAATTATTCTTTTTGCATGTTTCTTTTTACAATATCTTTTTGCAAGTCAAAGGCATTTTATTCAATTTCTATTTAGACCAGTACTGCTGCCCTCTTTAAGATCTGGTTCATTTCATCCAAATGACTACTAAAGTTAGAAAGGAATTGCCAATTTACTAATCCCCTACTCTACCCACTCCCTGCCAGTTTCCCCCAGGTCAGCCTTTGATTGGATGAAAAATTTATGCATTTTTACACAAGCCTAATCAGAATGCGTGCAGAAAAACTCCATTGCACAATGGAGATGACTGCAAAAGCCCAGAGTTTATGTAAATAAGGGGGTGTTTGAGGTAGCCAATCTAGGACTCAAAAAGCCTGATTTGAGTGTGCCCAAGAATAGCTATAGAAAAGCATCTCTAGTTTGCATTTTAGCAGATGAGCTCTCCTTGCTGATTTTTGCATCAAAGTAAGTTAGTTCAGTTCTTTAAAGAACACAAAAGCATTACAGAAAACACTTTTTTCAAAGGTACAACCAAGGACTGCCAGCTAATTAAATTAACCTACATTTTTAGAGCTTTGTCATTACATATGGAAAATGAATGTAAGTGCTTTCTTTGTCAGAAATCAATTCAATCATCATTAAAGTAACTCAAAAGAATCTCTCTCTCGTCTACTTTTGACACTGACATACACTAGTCAGTAAATTATATCAGCTGTTAATATATCGTGTCTCACTTTTGTTTATTTTTTAATGTTCCTATACAAAATATTAGGTAAAGGAAAAATAACAGTTCCTCAGTTCTTATTTTGCATCAACCAGAGTCAACTAAAATATATATATTTCAAAGGGAGTATTTGGAAATTATTGAAAAAAATCCATATTATTTTAAATTATTTTGGTATTCTGGATATAGCTCATTATTAATTTTGCTGTAGCATAAATGTATTTGTTTGACAGTGCTCTCCAAGACTTCTTCTTGATTGGTCACATTTGAGGATTAATATTTTATCATAATAGCTACCATCTAAAAAGGCCATCATTTAGAGGTGACTTTTTCTTTTAACTTTCATGCCAATAGCAGGCAATAGCCTATTGTTATTTGAAAAATGCCATACACACTTCAAGATACACCCACGTTCTAATTCCTGGAACCTATAAATGTGACCTTATTTGAGGATTAAAAATGTGCAAATGCAATTAAGTTAATGATCTTAAGAGATCATCCTAGATCTTCCAGGTGGATAAATTCGATCACAAGTGTCCTTGTAAGAGAACTAGAGGGAGATTAGATTCACATACAGGACAAGATGATGTGAAAACAGAGGCACAGGTTGGAGTAAAGAGGCCATGAGCCAAGGGATACCAAGGAATGCTGGCAGCCACCAGGAGCTAGAGATGTGAGAAACAGATTCTCCCTCAGAGCCTCCCAGGAGAGCACAGTCCTTCTGACACCTCGATTTTGAAATTCTGGCCTCAAAAACTATGAGATAATAAATTCTGTGTCTTAAGATAACAAGGTTTTGGTAATTTGTTACTGCAGCATAAAGAAATATACACAACCTAAGGCCTTTTTCCTTAGCAAAGGCTTGAGCATCTCTCTTCTTCTCTTTCATACTTTTCTGAGTATCAAGTGTCTGGCTTGATAAAGTTCATGAATGTTGACATTTTAAAGTACTTTCTTTCTTTTCTTTTTTTTTTCCTACCTTGAAGAAGCCTGAGACAAAAATCTAAACTTCAAGTTTTTCTGTGGAGTAAGGGGTAAAAAAGCAAAATAAAGTTCTTTGCCTGAAGGTATTTAGGAAGCAGAATTTTGCATGTCAGACTATTCAGTTGTGATATTTTTCTGAATTGGAGGTTGGAGCAAAAATATCAACTAATCATTTGTGTATCATAGTATTTATTATTTTTATTCTGTATTTACTACATTATCTTATTAGTTGTCCAATGCAGTTTTCAGATATTTTTGGCCAATTAATAAGAATATAAAAATGTATTTTATAAGAATTATTAATAAATCAAAAATTGTTTACATCAAAAATAAAATGTATTAGGATATTTTTAATGAATTTTTATTAGTATTCCTTTAGGTATTACTACTCTATATAGGCAAAGCAAGCTTTTTACAAAATTCTACTAGTAGTCTAGCATGTCAGTTTAATCTGAAAAAAATTTGAACAAAAAGCCCAGTTAAAAAGAGACTCCCAAGTGTATGACAAAGTGTTATTTTACCTGGCACAGAAATTGTGCATTATAAAGGTGAAGCGAACTCTTAAAGAACCAATGCCCCAAGCAAAAAGAGTGAGAGAATCTTAGACCTACAGCAATTCAATGAATTAATATATCTGAGAGCCCTGAAGTAGTTAGTACTTGATTCAAGGCAGAAGTGGAGTTGCTCCACTCTTCATCTTCAAGTAAAGATGAATGGGCTTTTATAATGGACCTTGCTCTGACAATGGGAATAAATGACTGTGATAGCTGAACACTTTCAAGGAGACTGGGAGATTCAATATGCAAAGTTTTTCATTTTATCATTGGAAGTACAGCCTTGGATTATTACTGACAGCCAAGATGCAGTTAAAGTAAAGGCCACACATACTATTGGCAATAATAAATTTTAAAATCTGGTATCTTTTTGCTGAGGCCAACTCTGAGTCATTTATCAAAGAAAAAAAGAGGATAAAGAAAAAGAAGTACGTTGCTCTATTCCAGCTAAAAACAACATATATACATTTTCCAGATTATTTTTGCATGAATACCAAAAAAACTATAGTTTTAAAATTGTGTTAATGAAACTATTCTCTAAATTCCTAATAATAGCAAATCCTATAAACACTAATAGTATAATGTAATTGAAATTAGTATACCTCCGTATTTTGATAAAGGCTTACAATATATTGTAAGAAGTTTATTTTTATTATACAAGCCCAGAGTTAATAGATCCTTCAATTTTTTATTAACTAAATGCCTATTGTAATTATTTATTAAATAGTTCTGAGTTTTGCTTGAAAACCAAGACAAAATGTAGTTTTTAATTAACTATCAAATGGTTATTGAAGTGTTCAAACTGCATGGATAATTAGAAAATAATTTTTCTTTTTTTCTCAAAAATTATCTTCTTAATATAATGATATATTTCTATCAAAAATGATTTATTTATCTCTATATTTTTATGAACATCAACTTTCTTTCATATTTGTATTACTCTTTTTATGTAGAATAAAGAACATATAAAATATAACTATAAAAAACAGTTCCCTATATTCTTCAATTTTACGATATATAGATGTTCTCATCTATGCAGCACAGGAAAAACTTGTTGACTTAGAACTTATTTATTTATTTGAAAGAAAATCATGGAGAAACTAAACTTTTCAATTGGGTAAGCAATGAATACAATACATGGAAATATTTGATTCAAATACCACTCCAAATTCCCCCAATAAAGGTGGTTCTTTTTAATAACATAATGAGAGCAACATAGAGTGACAGGAAAGCACACAAGTCACAACAGTTAGTGATAAAGCGTTGCTAACAGCCAATATCTACAGACATATTAAGAAATATTCCGTTTGTCTTACTTTCCCCTAATGCACATTTTTTGGCACTTCCACAGGGAAAACTGTCCAAACTATTGTTTATTTTTAGGGTCTTCGTTGTGGTCATGAAAATTGTGTAACCAGATGCAGGAAGCCTCAACCATCTCATTATTGAATTTTTATATTATTTTAGCACAGTCACAGTGAAGAATATAATGGAAAACATTCCAAGAAAAGGTCCACTCCTAGAAAGGACACAGATTAATGATAATAATCTCTGCTCCCAATTCTAGCAAATTACTTTGAGAGCAGGAGTTGTAGCTTCAAATGCATCTTTACTGTGTAGATTACAGGTACATAGAGCATCTGGGAAAGTTTGCCGGAAGTGTAGAACCTCAACACTCACGCCATGTGTGTGGTATGACCCATGAACTTAAAATTTGCATTTTAACAATCTATTGCCATTTAGATTTAAATGGTGACAGGAAACATTTTAAAAGAAACATGTATTAATCACCTACAGGGTAGTTAGCTCAGTGTCATTTACTTTAGGTGCTATAAAATACGGAAGAAATATTCTGCATGATATAATCTGTGATAATTGCAAAAGACTTACAAGCCCGGATCTCTTTGGTTTTATAGACACTATACATACGAGCATTTTATATGATTTTCTTATAAATGCATATTATTGCAGTGAAAAGTCAGAAACTTTATACTAATAATTATGGCTAATATTACAAAGCAGAAAGATTGCACTGATATAAAGTTTTCCTTTTGGAAGCTATATAATAAATTATGGTCTCTGGTGCAGTTCTATATTATTGGTTGATTTTATATAATATAAAGACTATAAATATAGAAAAATGTAATATAGACAATAAAGAATTACTCTTATAATAATGATAAAATTAATCATAAACCTATATTGAGCATTTCTCATATATCAGGCAGTTTATTAACTCTTTGTTAGTATTAAAATATTTAACCTTTTCAACAACGTATGTGCTAGGTGATTTTTTTTCTTTTTTTTTTTGAGACAGTGTCTAGTTCTATCACCCAGGCTGGAGTGCAGTGATGCAAACATGGCTTGTTTGCTGCTTGGAACTTCTGGGCTCCTGATCCTCTCACCTCGGTCTCCCGAGTAGCTGGGACTGAAGGTGCACACCACACCTGGCTATTTTTTTTGTTTTTAATTTTTTTATTTTATGTTGAGACAGTGTCTTACCATGTTGCCCAAGCTGGTCTTGAACTCCTGGGTTCATGGAATCTTCCTGCCTCAGCCTCCCAAAGTGTTGGGATTATAGGCAAGAGCCTCCATACGGGACTCTAGGTGACTATTAATTTCTATTTTAAATATGAGAGAAGTGTGGGAATACAGATAAACTTGGCCAAGTGTTCAGAGATTGGGGGACAGAGTCAGTGTTCATAAGATGACAACTTGAAACCTGGGTCATGTACATGGATTTATCTGTGAATTTGTTGAAAGAACTTGGAGAAAAAATTAAGAATTACAGAGATTAAATATTCTGCCAAAAGCCAGCATCTATATGCCAGTAGTCATCAATACCTATAATTAATTTTATGCATAATTATCTATATAACCAGAATGTTAAATTTTTTTTCTCATATTATTTGGCTTTCTCTATCTGTAAAGGACATAATGATGTTGGGTTTACCTAAAAATTATGTACAATTTATTCCACATCATCATTTTAACCTTATATTCTACTTATTCAAGTGTGGGTGCCTTTAACCCATATTGCTTCATGTTCTATAATATTTCACACACATTATTTATACAAAAGCAATATTTTATACCTGATTATAAAACTTTTTTTGAGCTAGGATGAAGAGACAAGTGAACCACAGTCTCATATTTTGAAGACAGGAAAGTGAAAACACTTACAAGGAAATAGTCTATAATATCTACAAAATGGTTTCTCAATTTCTGAATAGCCCATTTGTAAGACATGGTTCTAAATACATTTTAAAGGAAGATGAAGATAGGTCTAAGTCAAAAATAAATGCCATATATTCATATGCTAAAGGGTTGATGATTCAACATTAATGAAAGTTCCAAAGAAACTATAACCTTCAACCAAAATAGAGAAAAAAAAGTAATAAAATCTCATCTTTAAAGGTAAAAAAATTCATCTATTTAAAAAGTAATTATTGAGTGATTATTTGGTGTCAGGCAGCATTTTAGGTGCTTGATTTACAACAATAAAGAAAACAAAAATCCCTGTACTTTGGGAACTTGCATTCTAACAATCACGTTTAAAAGAAAAAAGTAATTGGCTGGGCGTGGTGACATGCGTCTGTAGTGACAGCTACTCTGGAGGCTGATGCAGGAGTATCTCTTGAGCCCGGGAGTTCCAGGCTGTGATGAGCTATGATAGAGCCACTGAACTCCAGCTTGGGCCACAGAGCGAGAGTGTCTCAAGGAAAACAAAATAAGAAATAGAAAGGAAAAAAGGGAAGAAAAGAAAAGGAGAGAAGAGAAAAAAAAAAAAAGGAAAGGAGAGGAGAGCAGGGGAAAGAAGAAGTGAAGTGAAAAGAAAGGGGAAAGGGAAAAGAAAAAGATATTAGTGTTTTCTGTTTAATTATTCAGTATTATTTACTTTGGCCCATGAGATTATTTTTTTCTTCAAACACTCTTTAGATTGCCTAAGAAAGTAATTTGGAATACATAAAATAAAAATGTACAATAATTAAGTTTCCAGGCAAGGTCATATTTGGCCCTTACATTTTATAGGTTTGCTACAAACCATAAATGGTTTTCTTCCTTAATTTTTGAATGTAAACCCTTTAAACTATTTTAATTTAAATATTTTACTTGAATTGAATTAAATTTTAATTTAAACAATTTTTAAATTTGAACACTTTACAGAGCTGGCAGCAAATTTGCTGAAATTCTGTTGTATGGATATATACAACCCCCCTTTAAGAAAAACAGATTATTAAATTTTAACCATTTGTAATGTCAACCAAATAGTCACATATTCAAATTAGACATCCAAAAATTCTTGTTTGATTAATTTTGGAACAAAAATTTAATCACAAATTCTTTAAGCTATGCTTTTGAAAAAATACATATTTGTTTAAATTGTGGTAAAATACATGTAACAAAATTTATCCTT
The DNA here is from genome assembly GCF_000001405.40 of Homo sapiens. Classification (NCBI taxonomy): domain Eukaryota; kingdom Metazoa; phylum Chordata; class Mammalia; order Primates; family Hominidae; genus Homo; species Homo sapiens. The sequence goes on from NC_000004.12 coordinate 133,897,647, forward strand.
TTGGTTATTATGTTTTATGTGTACAGTTCAGTGATATTAAGTACATTGTCATTATTGTACAACCGTTACCACTATCTATCTTCAGAACTTTTGTCCTTTTGCAAAACTGAAACTCTATACTCATCAAATAACAACTCCTCATCCTCCCTCACTGCCTCTAGCAGCCACAATTATATGGTCTTTCTTTATTAATCTGACTAATATAAGTACCTCAAATGAGTAGAATCATACAGTATTTGCCATTTTGTGATTGGCTTATTTCACTTAGCATAAGGTCTTCAAGGTTCAGTGATGTTGTAGCATGTGTTAGAATTTCTTTCCCTTTTAAGACTAAATAATATTTCATTGTGTGTGTGCGTGTGTGTGTGTACACACGTGTGTGTGTGTACACGTGTGTGTGTGTGTGTACATACACTACATTTTGTTTATCATCCATATATGGACACCTTGGGTTGATTTCACCTTCTAGCTACTGTGAAAAAACATTGCTATGAACATGGGTGTACAAATATGTTTCCATGTTCCTGATTTCAGTTATTTTGGGTAAATATCCTGAAGTGGAATTGTTGGATCACACAGTAATCCTATTTTTAATGTTTTGAGGGACTGCCATACTAGTTTCCATAACGGCTGTGGCATTTTAGATTCCCACCATCAGTGCACTAGGGTCCAGTTTCTCCACATTCACATTAACACTTGTTATTTCATGTTTGTGTGATAATAATCATCCTAATGGGCATAAAATAGCATCTCAATTTATTTTGTATTGGCATTTCCCTAATGATTAGTGATTGAGTGTCTTTTCATGTGCTTATTGACATTTGCATATCTCTTTTGGAGAAATGTCTATTCAGATTTTCTGCCCATATTTGAATGAGTTTTTTGTTGTTGTTGAGTTTTAGGAGTTCTTCATATATTCTGGATATTAATCTCTTATTAGATACGTGATTTGTAATTTTCTCTCCCATTCTGTGGATTGCCTTTTTACTCTGTTGATAGTCTCCTTTGATACACAAAAATTTTAATTTTTTAAAAATCTAATTTGTCTATTTCTTCTTTTGTTTGTTTGTCAAGATTGTGAGATATTTGATATTTGAGGACAAGCTTGTCAAAATACTAACTTCTAAAATTCATTTGTAAAAATAGATTTTTATTTCAGATGCCCAGTAGGTACTAAGTAGAAAAAGGATTGAGCTGACGAAATATTTGTATTTAATAAGCATAAATTGAAGAGAACAGGTAAAATGGGCACATTTAATAACATATATGAAATGCTTTACTAGGATTACAAGAAATGTAAAATAATAAAGCATTGCTGTATATTACAATAAGATTTCAAAAGCAGATGAAGTTTAAATAGAAAAACAAATATGTTTATATAAATCAAGTGTCATATTGTTCAGGCAGTTGAAACCAAATCTAATTAAAAAAAAACACTGAGTGCATAAAAATTAATATTCCGAATTCTTAATATATATATTATTATTTACAAGTTGCTAATAGTAACAAACTTTTTTTTTTTTTTTACAAATCTGTCTTCTGGAATATAAAATAAATATTTACAATTCAAAAATTCAGAGGTTAAACACTCACATTTTTTTCTCTGCTCTATATTTCAGTTTAAGAAAATAAGTATTCTAAATTGTTCTAGGTTCCTCTTATCATTTACCTATATATTCATATTTACAAATGAATTTAAAAGTTAGACATGTACACTAATGTTGATACTATTACAAATAACATTAATAATAAATCTATGTATTGATTATTTACTAAGTGCTAGGATTTTTGCTAAGTGCTTTATATACATTGACTTTTTTAGTCCTGCAAATAAAATATGATAGATGTATTATTATCTCCTATTTTCTACTGCTTTAAGAAAAAGAAGTTATTTGCAGTGGTCATTTTGAAAATAAACAGCATTATTTCTAAAATTTTAATCTCATGTTTTCAAAAAGAATGTAAGTAATCTGAAAAATAATATTTGCATTCAAATTCCCAATGCATTACACACTTTTTATAAAAAAACCTAACAATATATTATATAAAAACACAAAAATAATAGTTGGAGGATGAAAATCTTACCTATCATTCTCTTTCATATTTTGTTCTTGTCTTCCTAATTACTTACTACTCTCAAAATGTAATGGCTCACCACAGAGCACCAAGTAGAAAATAATATTTTTGGTCAATAGATTTTGTATTCTAAAAGGGTCCAAATTCATTGATTTTCTAGAAATAATAAAATAATCTTGGTTATTTAAGATTGTTGTTTTGATAGGTTTTTCTGTTCTAATGGTATATTGAAATTAAAATAATGATTTTATATGTGTATATATATATATATCTATCCACATATTCATACATTATATGAAAAGAAACAGAGCCTTTCCATATTAAATAACTACTATAAATATTTTTTAATCTTGTCTTCTATGTGCTTTTTATTTATGCAGTTTAAATTACATTAATGTTATGTTTTTAATAATAACTAAAACAGAAATAACCATTTCCAACTACTCGGTGTTATTTGGATTTTTAAAATATAATGTATAATATGTTGGGAAATTGGATATTTGAATATAATTTCTGTAATTATTTTATGTTGCTTTTTAAAGAGTTGAGAATAGAATTTTAGAAACTTTTTAAAATGTTGTTTATTTACAAAATGACCACTGTAAATTAACATTATTCCTTCGAAGAGGTGAATGAGTGGTAAGTTTTGCTATAACAAAACATTTGATAGCAGATAATAACTGCCACTGTATAGTTGCCATTTCGCATATTTTTAAACCAAATAATTGAATACTCAAGAGCTTTAAAGGGGGGAAAATAATTACTCAAGTTCCTTGGAAATGCAAAAGGCAATTATGTTGCTCTATGCACTACTGCATTTCTGGAGATGAAAAAACTTTTGTACAATAATTCTCCTAGCACCTGAACCTTTTGTTCAGTAATTCTCCTAGCACTGTTTTCCCAAACAAGTCAATTGTTTAATCACTTTTAGCAAGTTATGGAGGGATTCATTATAGTTTTCAGATGTTACTAATCATAAGAATAAATTCATTCTAAATTATTGATTGAAAGAAGTGATGCAAGACTTGTATTTTCTAATTTCCAGGATATTGCAGGCTGGAAAGAAAAAAAAGAAAAAAAAGCTTTAAAAAGCAGTGCAGGTCTAACGTTTATTCCCTGGTTATGCAGTCCATAATGAGAATACATAATCCTTCAGTATTCCTAAATTTATAGTTCAACCCAAAAGATGAGATTATAGTGTACCCTGACTCGCCCATTCTTCATGTCTCTATCAACAGGAACAAGTCTTGTGTTTAGTTCTCAGTGGTTGTTTGGTAGGTTGGTCAGTTTGCTTTCCTTTGTTATTTTATTATTATTTCGGCTGACTGCAACCTCCAACTCCTGGGTTCAAGCGATTCTGCAGCTTCAGCCTCCTGAGTAGCTGAGATTACAGACACTCGCCACCATGCCCCGCTGATTTTTGTATTTTTTTAGTAGAGATGGGGTTTCCCCATGTATTTTGTTGTTTTTGTTGCCATCATGGGTGTTTTCCATATTCATGACTGCTCTTCATCTTTTGAATAGCCTTTTTATATTTGAGGCCAGACCTATGTATTGAATCACACGTGCTGCTGCTCACAAAGAAGTCAGAGCCTATTACCCATTCTCTTTTACAATTAAATTGTATATGTGTTACTTAGTTTCCCAAAAAGAACACCCACATAAGTATTTAATTCAGAAGTGAGCAATAAGATGCAATAGGTTCTTCTGAAATGTTCATTTTTTCTGGCATAATAGGGAGCAGATTATCAGTATTCAGTGGCGGCAGAGGTAGCTGTAATGGCCCCAGGTTTTCAGTGGTGGCAAACCTGGTTCACGGCGAGGGGTGGAGAAGTCTCTGTGCTAGCAGCAGTAGCAGATTGTGTAAAGCATTGTTTTCCCTAAACATCTGAGCACTTCTATAACCAATTTAATATCATTTAATATATCAATTGTTGAAACTTTCCAGATTTGACTTGTAGATTTTGTTTATTCTAAGAACCCCTGGCAATATTTGTAAATATTCTTGTTTTGAAGAATAAGAGAATTTGAGTAGAATATTTTCTGCATTGTATGTATGGGACTGTAGATATAAATAAAAATAAAATTTTCTGATGTAAAATTTTGGAAACATGACTGCCTCCATTCAAAAATTTTGAAGCATTGATTACTTTTCTTCCAGCATTTATATGCACTACAATCTGAATATTTGTTAGAAAAACACTAGAAATCCCAGTAATGCTGGTAGGTATAAGTTAACCTCATGATCTAACGCTTGCAGGAGATAATTGCAAACATACTCATTTTTTGGTGTCTTTCCTTCAATCTTTTCCTCTCAATAACCCTTCAACTTATGTTCTTTGTTGTTGTTGTTTTTTAACCAGTTGTTCTAGGCTTCCTATTCCACTTCCATAGGTGTCATGGTTTTGTATCCTATTAAGGATGCTAAATTGTCAAAAATTTTATCATGTAGTCTTAGAATAGATCATTTCAATGAGGCTCCTTCTGCTGAATTCTCAGAATTTATTCATTCTGTCTTTCACTATTTCATTTGGTAGATGCTTGCCAAGCCCCTATTAGGTCTCAGATACTTTTCTAAATGTGGACACAGAACAAGGAACAAAACAGATGAAGGACCCAGTGCTCTCTGAGCATATAATCTGTTCATCAAGACCACTACTAACAAAGAGAAAAATAAATAAATCACAGTTCATAGGTAATAGGCACAATGAAGAAAATAATGCAGGATAATAGGTAATTGAGTGACTTCACGTGAGATGGGGTAGGGGAAAGGGAGAGGCATTTTAGATCAAAGTTATCATTAATGTTGTTATTCATATTTGTCCATTGTTGTAAGGGGAGATATCACATCCAAACAACTTGTATGTATAAATATATAAAGCTATAGATCTTAGTATGCATAATTCCCAGACTGATTTCCAGTATTTTCCTGCCATTTATCTACTATGTTTTCACCTGTTGATGTGGGTGAAACCACATTAAACATGTCTAATGCTCTTAGGAGATGGAGAATATTAAACAAATTACTTAATGCAGAAAATAACTCTATTAGAGTTTTCCTTGATTTCACCCTCCTCAGTTAGTACTCTAGTTATGGGAATCATATTATCAGAATTCAAATAATATCAAATAAACCCTTCCTTCCCTTAATCCAATTTTGTTGTTGTTGTTTAAATCATAATATCTGAATGGATAAAGAATGAGATATATTATTAGGGGTCAAGGTCAGGGAGGGGGTTATGGGAAACCATGTAACTGCCTAAAATTTAGCATGCAGTCAGTAGAAGGATGGCTATCCAATGTTCTTCTTGGTTCAGATTTTGTTTCTGGTCCAAAGATTAGAGGAAAAGGGAAGAAATAAAGATCTATCTACTTTCCAGCAGGCAAGCACACCAGCAGCATCATACTGATTATATATTTAATCCACTCCCATTGGCCTTGTATTTAATGGAAATTCCTCTCATATTCTGACAATAAGTTGACAGTGAGTCCCAGTTCATAGTGTTGTGCAATTTCATCTTTTCAAGTCTCTACCTAATGACTTTAGTGAAAAAGGTGGAGGAGGTTGTTTCAAGGGCTGCTTAGACAGATGACATTTTAAACTAGAAATGAAAGTATAGGTTTTTATGGTTTCCAATATATCTGTGAATTCTGTATAAGAAATAATTTGGTCTACTACAAAACAGATGTGTTACACATAGACCTCATAGCAAAAGCTAGAGAGTTAAAGCTAAATAAATAGGATATGTAGTTTGCTAAATTTCCATTGTGATCTCTATTCGTTTTTTTCTTTAACCTGTGTACAATTATAAGTTATTTTTCATGCACTCTTCAAGACAATTAGCATGTTAAGGAAACATAAAGGTTATTAAATAAAAGGTAAGTTACTTGACCTCTTCAGTATAGTTGTAAAAAATTACAATGTGGAAGCAATTGGATATTTTTTGAGAATACATAAAAATTATACATAAATCTTTTATGTGTCCCCTGCTTAGAAAGCCTGCTTTCTGGAATGTTTCAAATTTAGTAAATAGTTATTAATGGAGAATCAACTGGTTTCTCAGCACTGTTCCATACACACAGGAGTAAATAAGACAGGTGAATATGTCTGTCTACATGGAGGAGCTTATATTATTTCCTTTTGTCTGTCTTTGCTAAATTCTCATGCATTTTCCAAGTTTCATGTCCAATGTTACTTTTCCTGACCTGTCGGCTAGTTCATATTCATAGTATCTTTAAAGGTGGAAACCATATTTTTATCATCTTAAAGCTTTTAACCTACTTCCTTAGGATGTGTTTATTGAATAGAATTATATTTAACTACCTAGGTATGCCATTCACAGAAAATGGTGTTTTGTCTTTCTTGTATTTACCCTTTAGAAGAAGTCATTTATTTCATTTGAATATTTCATATTTCAAACAAATATGAAATAAATGACTATAATTATTAGGTAGAAAATAACTCTGCCTTAAGTTTATTGTTACTGGGAATTCGATTTTTATGAATGTATTTAAAACATTGCAAAATTTTGTCAAGTAATATTAGAAAAGTAAACTCATCATAAGTACACTCAAAATGTACACACACACACACACATACACACACACACAATTTTCAGATTAGCTGATAATAATAGCAGTATCCAAAGCAATAGTTAAGTTTATGGAACTTAGTACCATATTAATGTAAAAAGTGAGAGAGATTTTCATAGAGAATATTAACATTACATAACTCTGAACTTTATTTTGCATTTCTTCACTAACAAAAGAATTCATTATTCATAACTGAGTATATATTCCCATAATTCCTCAATCTCAATGTATGGGAATTGAGTCATTACTTATTAGTAACTGACTTTTTAAAATAAAATTGAGAAGTTTGTTTATATTTTGTTCTGTTAGTAAACTGAGCACAGATGTGTGGCTAAATCCATAATGTAAACAAAGTGTTAGGCTTGCTTATAAAACTCTGATTTGCTTCATTGTATTTTATCATATTGTTTTCCTTTTATATCAAATAATAGTTTTCACTGTTATATTTTTACATTTTTCAAACAGTCATATTCATTGTGGAAGACGATAACATGTTGGTCATTAAATATATAAGAAAAAAATATAAAACCTGAAATTCAGGTAATTATTTTCTTTTTCTTTTTCTTTTTTGGAGACAGGATCTTGTTCTGTCACCCAGGTTGGAGTGCAGTGGCATGATGGGGGCTCACTACAGCTTCAGCTTTCTGGGCATGTGCAAGTGTCTTTTTCATATAACGACTTCTTTTTCTCTGGGCAGATACCCAGTAGTAGGATTGCTGGATCAAATAGTAGATCTACTTTCAGTTCTGTAAGGAATCTCCACACAGTTTTCCATAGTGGTTGTATTAGTTTACATTCCCAGTAGCAGTGTAAAATTGCTCCCTTTCACCACATCCATGTCAACATCTATTATGTTTTGAGATTTTGATTAAGGACATTTTTGAAGAAATAAAGTGGTATTGCATTGTAGTTTTGATTTGCATTGTCCTGATAATTAGTGATGCTGAGCATTTTTCATGTTTGTTGGCCACTTGTGTATCCTCTTTTAAGAACTGTTTTTTCATATCCTTAGCCCACTTTTTGATGGGATCGTTTTTTTTTCTTGCTGACTTGTTTGAGTTCCCACAGTTTCTGAATATTAGTCCTTTGTCACATGCATATTTGATGAATATTTTCCCCGAAACTGAGTTGTCTGTTTACTCTGCTGATTATTTTGTTTTGCTGTACAGAAACATTTTAGTCTAATTAAATCCCTTCTATTTATCCTTGTTTATGTTGCATTTGCTTTTGGTCATGAAGTCTTTGCCTAAGCCAATGTCTAGAAGGGTTTTCTCAATGTTAGCTTCTAGAATTTTTATTGTTTCATGTCTTAGTTTTAAGTCTTTAATCGATCTTGAGTTGACATTTGTATAGGGTGAGATATGAGAATCCAGTTTCATTCTTCCACATGTGGCTTGCCAGTTATTCCAGCACCATTTGTTGAATAGGGGTCCTTTCCTTGACTTTATGTTTTTGTTTGCTTTGTCAAAGATCTGTTGACTGTAAGTATTTGGCTTTATTTATGGGTTCTCTATGCTGTTCCATTTGTCTATATGCCTATTTTTATACCAGTACCATGCCGTTTGGGTGACTATAGCCATATAGTATAGTTTGAAGTCAGGTAATGTAATGCCTCCAGATTTGCTCTTTTTGCTTAGTCTTTCTTTGGATATGCAGGCTCTTTTTTAGTTCTACATGATTTTAGAATTTGTTTTCTAGTTTTCTTAAGAATGATGGTGGTATTTTGATAGGAATTGCTTTGAATTTGTAGATTGCTTTTGGCAGTATGTTCATTTTCACAGTACAGACTCTACCCATCCTTGAGCATGGGATGTGTTTTCATTTGTTCATGTGTTTGTGTCATCTGTGATTTCTTTGAACAGTGCTTTTTTAGTTTTCCTTGAGGTATTTTATCTCCTTGTTTAGGTATATTCATAAGTATTTTATTTGTGGCTATTGTAAAAAGGGTTGAGTTCTTGATATGATTCTTGGCTTGTTCACTGTTGGTGTATAGCAGCGCTATTGATTTCTGTATATTTTGTACCCTGAAACTTTACTGAATTTATTTATCAGTTTTAGGAGCTTTTCAAATGAGTCTTTAGGGTTTTCTATGTATATCATCATATCGTCAGCAAACAATGACAATTTGACACCCTCTTTACTGATTTGAATGCCCTTTATTTCTTTCTCTTGTCTAATTCCTCTCTAGGACCTTCAGTTCTATGTTGAATAAACATAGTGAAAATGGACATCCTTGTCTTGTTCCAGTTCTCATGGAGAATGAGCTCAACTTTTCCCCATTCACTATAATGTTGGTTGTGTGTTTATCATAGACAGCTTTTATTACCTCAAGCTATATCCCTTCTTTGCCAATTTTGCTAAGGATTTTAATCATAAAGCGATGCTGTATTTTGTGTTTTCTTCATCTATTGAGATGATCATGTGATTTTTGTTTTTATTTCTGTTTATGCGGTATATCACATTTATTCACTTGTGCATGTTAAACTATCCCTACATTGCTGGTATGAAACTCACTTGATTATGGTGGATTATCTTCTTGATATGCTGTTGGATTCATTTAGCTAGCATTTGGTTAAAGATTTTTGCATTTATGTTCATCAGGGATATTGGTCTGTAGTTTTCTATTTTAGTTATGTCCTTTTTTAGGTTTGGTATTAAGGTGATACTGGCTTCATAGAATGATTTAGGGAGGATTCCCTCTTTCTCTATCTTTTGGAATATTTTCAATAGGATTAGTACAATTCTTGTTCAAATGTCTGATAGAATTCAGCTGTGAATTTGCCCACTCCTGGACTTTTTTATTGGCAATTTTTTAATTACCATTTCCATCTTGCTGCTTGTTATTGGTCTGTTCAGAGTTTCTATTTCTTCCTGGTTAAACCTAGGAGGGTTTTATATGTTCACGAATTTATCTGTCTCCTTTAGGTTTTCTAGTTTATGTGCATAAAGCTATTCACAGTAGCCTTGAGTGATCATTTGTATTTCTGTGGTATCAATTGTAATATTCCCAGTTTCATTTCTAATTGAGCTTATTTGGATTTTTTCTCTTCTTTTCTTGGTTAATCTCACTAACAGTCTGACAATTTTGTTTATCTTTTAAAAACCAGCTTCTTGTTTCATTTCCCATTTGTATTTTGTTTGTTTGTTTCAATTTCTTTTAGTTCTGCTCTTCTCTTTGTTATTTATTTTCTTCTGCTGGGTTTGGGTTTGGTTTGTTCTTGTTTCTCTAGTTTCTTCAAGTGTGAGCTTAGATTGTCTATTTGTGCTCTTTTGGACTTTTTGATGTAGGCATTTAATGCTATGAAATTGCCTCTTAGGATTGCTTTTGCTGTATTCCAGATGATTTGATGGGTTGTGTCATGATTGTCATTCAGTTCAAAGAATCTTTAATTTCCATCTTGATTTTATTATTGGCCCAATAATTATTCAGGAGCAGGTTGTTTAATTTCCATGTATTTGCATGGTTTTGAGAGTTCCTTTTGAAGTTTATTTCTAATTTTATTCCAATGTGGTCTGAGAGAGTCCATAATTTTGATTTTCTTAAATATTGAGACTTGTTTTGTGGCCTATCATATGAACTGCCTTGGAGAATGTTCTGTCTGCAGATGAATAGAATGTATATTCTGCAGTTGCTGGGTAGAATTTTCTGTAAATATGTTGAGTCAATTTGTTCTAGGGTATAGTATAAGTCCATTGTTTCTTTGTTGACTTTCTGTCTTGATGACCTGTCTGGTGCTGTCAGTAGAGTACTGAAGTTCCCTACTAGTATTGTGTTGCTGTCCTCCTCATTTAGGTCTAGTAGTAATTGTTTTATAAATTTGGGAGCTCCAGTGTTAGGTGCATATGTATTTAGGATTGTGATATTTTCTTGTTGTACTCATCCCTTATCATTATACAATGTCCCTCTTTGTCTTTTTAACTGTTGTTGCTTTAAAGTCTGTTTTGTCTGATATAAGAATAGCTATTCTTGCTTGCTTTAGTTGTCCATTTGCATGGAATATCTTTTTCCACCCCTATACCTTAAGTTTACTGGAGTCCTTATTTGTTAGGTGAGTCTCTTGAAGACAGCAGATACTTGGTTGGTGAACTCTTATCCAATCTGCCATTCTGTATCTTTTAAGTGAAGCATTTAGGCCATTTACATTCATCGTTAATATTGAGATGTGAGGTACTATTCTGTTCATTGTGGTATACCTTTTTTTCCATTGTGTTATTGTTTTGTAGGTCCTGTGAGATTTATGCTTTAAGAAGGTTCTATTTTGGTGTATGTCAAATATTTGTTTCAAGATTTAGAGCTCCTTTTAGCAATTCTTGTAGTGTTGGCTTGGTAGTGGTGGGTTCTCTCAGCAATTGTTTGTCTGAAAAAGACTGTATCTTTCCTTCATTTATGGTGTTTAGTTTTGCTGGATACAAAATTTTTGGCTGGTAATTGTTTTTTAAGGAGGCCAAAGATAGGACTCAATCCCTTCTAACTTCTAGGGTTTCTGCTGAGAAATCTGCTGTTAATCTCGGTTTTCCTTTATAGGTTACCTGATGCTTTTCCTCATAATTAATATTCTCTTCTTTGTCTTGACTTTCGATAACCTGATGACTATGTGCATAGGTTATGATCTTTTTGCAATGAATTTCCTGGGTGTTCTTTAAGCTTTTTGTATTTGAACATCTAGATCTCTAGCAAGGCCTGGGAAGTTTTCCTCAATTATTCCCTCAAATATGTTTTCCAAACTTTCAGATTTCTCTGCTTTCTCAAGAATGCCGATTATTCTTGGGTTTGCTCATTTAACATAATCTCAAACTTCTAGGAGGCTTTGTTCATTCTTTTTGATTTTTTTTTTTTTGTTGATTGGGTTAACTTGAAAGCCTAGTTTTTAAGCTCTGAAATTCTTTATTCTACTTGTTCAATTCTATTGATTAGAATCTCCAGTGCATTTTAACCTTTCTCTAAGTGTGTCATTGATTTCCAGTTATGATTGTTTTTTATTTATGCTATCTATTTCACTGGAGATTTTTTCATTCATGTCCTGTATTTTTATTTATTTAAGATAGACTTCACCTTTCTCTGGTGCCTCCTTGAGTAGCTTAATAATTGACTTTCTGAATTCTTTTTCTGGCAATTCAGATATTTTGCCTTGGTTTGGATCCATTACTGGTGAGTTAGTGTGATCATTTGAGGGTGTTAAATACCTTTGTTTTGTCATATCATCAGAATTGTTTTTCTGGTTCCCTCTCATTTGGGTAGACTATGTCAGTGGGAATATCTGGGGCTCAAGAGCTGCTAATCAGATTCTTTTGTCTCGCAAGGTGCTCCCTTGATGTGGTGCTCTCCCCTTTCCCCTAAGGATGAGGTTTCCTGAGAACCAGACTGCAGTGATTGATATTTCTCTTCTGGGTCTAGCCACCCAGCAGAACTACCAGGCTTCAGGCTGGTACTAAGGGGTATCTGCAAAGAGTGCTGTGATGTGATCCATCTTCAGGTCTCTCAGCCATAGATACCAGCACCTGCTCTGGTAGAGGTAGCAGGGGAATAAAATTGACTCTGTGAGTGTCCTTGTTTGTGGTTTTGTTTAATGCACTGGCTTTGTGTTTTTTGGCCCCTAGAGCATCAGCTATAGTACTATAGGGAGAATACGAGCTTGCCCTAAGGTCACCTGAATAAACATTCAGGTTTCTCAGGCAGTGGGTGGGACCATAGAGATCCCAGGGGATTGTGTCCTTTGTCTTCCGCTACCAGGGCACATAGAAAAAGAACATCAGGTGGGGCAGGATTAGGACTCTCTGAGCTCAGACTCTTCTTGAGCTTGCTGTGGCCACTGTGGAGGATGAGGGTGTGGTTCTCAAGCCAATGGAGTTATGTTTCCAGGGTAATTATGACTGCCTCTGCTATATGACACAGGTCACCAGGGGAGTGAGGGAAAGCCAGCAGTGACAGGCTTCACCCAGCTCTCATGCAGCCCAAAAGGCCAGTCTCTCTCCCAATATGCTCCCCCACCCCCAACTCCCGTCAACAGCATTGAGTTTATTTCCAGGCAGCCAGTGAGCAGGGCTGAGAACAACTTGCTCTAGGCTACATGCCTCCCTGCTGAGAAAGCAAGCAGGGCTTTCAGGTTTTACCTCTCCCTACCTACTGCAGTTTCTGTGCTGCTATCCACACTCCAGGTTTTCCCCTGTCCCAGATTCTGTCCAGGAAACGTTGGGTTCTTTTGAAATTGTTACATAGTTCAACTGGAAGTTTCCTTCTTCCTGTCGTCTTTCCCCAATTCTACTGGCAGCCCACCCCGAGGACCCCTGTGAGATGAAGTCAGAAATGGCATCCCTTGGGACCAAGAGTGCCTACAGGGCTTTTCCCACTGCTTCCTTTAGTCCTATATTTCACTTGACTCTCTAAATTCGTCTCAGCTCAAGGTAAGATCTAATCCTTCTCCTGTGATCTGGACCTTCAGGTTCCCCAGTAAGGATGTGTTTTTGGGGACAGATGTCCCCCCTCATCCATTGGGGGAGAACCCTTTGGGCTCTCACAGTTTTCAGCTGTCTCACAAAGCCTGCAGAGGTAAGTAGCTTCCTTCAAAGTGTCTACGGATTCTCTTGGCTTTCCTGGTATGTTCATGTAGTATTTCTTGGAGCAAAAGTGCATGATGTGAGCCTCCATATGTTGCTCTGTTCAGCTGAGTGGGAGTTGCAAGTTAGTCCAGCCTATCTGCCATTTTCACCTATTGTCCAGGATTCCCTGTTTAATAATGGTGCTGGGAGAACTGGCTAGCCATATGCCAAAAATTGAAACTAGACACATTCCTTACACCATATACAAAAATTAACTCAAGATGGTTTAAAGACTTAAATGTAAAATCCAAAATATAAAAGCCCTTGAAGAAAGCTAGGCAACACCATTCAGGACATAGGCACAGACAAAGATTTTATAGTGAAAACACCAAAAGCAATTGCAAGAAAAGGAAAAATTGACAAATGGGATACAATTAAACTAAAGAGCTTCTGCACTACAAAAAAACAAAAAACAAAAAACAAAAAAAAAAAACATCAAATTGAACAGACAACCTACAGAAAATGTTTGCAATATATTCATCTGACAAAGGTCTAACATCCAGAGTCTGCAAGGAACTTAAACAAATTTACAAGAAAAAACAAACCCATTTTAAAAAGTGGGCAAAGGATATGAACAGACACTTCTCAAAAGAAGACATACATGCATTCAACAAACATAAAAGAAGCTCAACATCACTAATTATTAGAGAAATGCCAATCAAAACCACAATGAGATACCATCTCATACCAGTCAGAATGGTTATTGTTAAAAAATCCAGAAACAACCGATGCTGGTGAGGTTGTAGATAAAAAGGAGCACTTTTACACTATTAGTGGGAGTGTAAATTAATTTAATCATTGAGGGAGACAGTGTTGTGGCTTCTCAAAACCTAGAAGCAGAAATACCATTTGACCCAGCAATCTCATTACTGGGTATTTACCAAAGAAATGTACATTATTCTATTACAAAGATGCATGCCTGTGTATGTTCATTGCAGCCATTGTAGCACCATTCACAATAGCAAAGACATGGAATCAACCTAAATGCCCATGAAATGATAGACTGGATAAAGAAAATGTACATATAAACCATGGAATACTATGCAGCCTTAAAAAGGAATGAGATCATGTCCTTTGCAGGGACATGGATAGAATTGGAAGCCATTATTCTCAGCAAAGTAATGCAGCAACAGAAAACCAAACACCACATGTTGTCACTTATCATTGGGAGGCAAATGATGAGAACACATGGACACATAGACATAGACGGGAAGAACACACACAAGGGCCTGTTGTGGGGGACAGGGGAAGGGAGAGCACCAGACAGAATAACTAATGGATGCTGGACTTAATACCTAGGTAATGGATGATCTGTGCAGCAACCCAACATGGCTTACGTTTACCTATGTAACAAACCTGCACATCCTGCACATGTATCCCTGAACTTAAAATAAAAGTCAAAATAATTTGATAAATTCATTCATTGAGTTCCCTCTCTGTCTCAAATAAATATTAATAGCAATAAAAATTAAAGCTAAAAAGACAAATTGACAAATTTAAAAAGCATGTTCAATCTGCAAAACATAAAATAAAAATTGTTTTGAAAGAAAATAGTAATTATACAAGTGGTCCAGAAAGTACAAGCCTACTGGGTGCAGGACATGATGTGTGATTGACAGATGCTTCAAAGTAATATAAGGAGAATAAATATATTTCATGGAAACCAATAAACTAACACCAGGCTCAATGGTTAAAACCAGAGTTGCTATGTACAAGGGCATAATGGCTAAAACATTTCAGAATAGAAGAAATAAGTAAATTATCAGTTTAAAAGTTTAGTCTAAGTTCTGAAGAAGAAAAATAAAATGAATTAATAACTAGATATTTGTCCTTGACACTAAAACACAAGAAGCAAAAAGAAAAAAGAAAGAAAATTATTAAAAGTTACCAGAAGAAAAAAAACAGATTTTCTACAAAATTAAGATAATAGATCACAGATGCCTTTATTTTATGGTAAAAACAATGAGAGAACAGAATGAAGTACTCATTGTACATGCTTAAGGAATTCATAAGATTCAGAATGAACTTCATAACTAAACTGTCATATAAGAGTTTATGTAAATTTTGTTTGCTTGTTTGTGTCTATGAAGATAACCTAAGTGATAGCCTGATAATCTTTTTTCTAAAAACACTTAAAAGTGCTGTATAAACATTTAAATCAAATACCAATCAGAATAACTGAGATTTCGTAAAATAAAACATAACCTGAAACAGGAAGTGAAAAAAAAGAGAGGATTCTGAAAATCCTCAAGGAGAAAAGGCCTTGAAACTACTCAAATTGGGAAAGTGAAACTGAGATTCCATACATCAAGTACGACTCTTAAATACTTAGCAAAAAGAAAAAGAAAGAAAAGTCTGGCCAACTACCGAGAGACAAAAATGTTCAAAGAATTTAAAAATAGATAAATATTTTCTAATGCTTATCTATTAGATTATTGAGAATAAAAATATCGTAGATTATTGAGAAAGTTCCTGTGCATTTTTAAAGTTTAAATCTGAACATTATTGAAAATACCAAACACCAAATCTTACAAAAAAGAGATTACATTGTACTCATAGGTACCTTTTATGTTATAAATGTTTTTAATAAATATACAAGAAAATCAATGAGATAAGTATTGCATGCAAGAAAATAATAAAATAGAGTAAAAATGAAAGTAAGCAATAAGAGTTAAGATGAGAGGAAATTTATATAGTAAAAATTAAAATTAATCCAACATGGATATCAAGAATAGATAAAGAAAACCATTGTTATAAAAGGTTTAAAACACCTTGCGAGCAAAAAACTATATTTCAATAAATTTTGAATCATATATAGAATGGTAATTTCAAATAAATTGTCAAAATTTAGTCAATAAAATTAAAAACATTTTTAAACCAAAACCATGGAAGTGATAGTAAAAAAATCTCCATTTAACAATCTCCACTTGATACTAAATCAAGGTACTTTTAAAAACATGTTTTACCAAAACTTAATGAAACATAAAACTATTATCCTATTTCAAATTTTTAGAAACCAGAGGAGGATCCCACACCTAGTTCATTTTTACGAGGCTAGTACAGCACTGACACCAAAGTGAGTACCAATGCAATGTGCTTTATAGAGCTAAGACAAACATATATCAATCTTATTTACAAAGGTATACATAAATACCACCTAAGTAAATTATATAAAACAAAATACCGAATTTTTCTAAGAAATATAAAGGTAGTTTGTCATCAGAAAAATTGTCTATATAACATTAGATTATTAAAAATCAATATAATCACTTAAATGGGTTCAGAAAAATTATATGTATCAACACTCATTCATGTTTAAAACCCATGTAACCAAGAAAGACAAGCTTAATAACTAGAAGAGAACTGCCTTATCTGGAGTTTAGAACATACATCACTCTTAAGGAAAACTTGAGAAATATATTAAAGTTAGGAACAAGAAACATATGTCCAGTGTCACCTACATTATTGAAAACATTATTGGCCTTAGATAATATAAGAAACCAATAAAATAAATTAAATATAACAATTGTAAAGTTAGTCATTTAAGGATGATACAGTTGACAACATATATAATCTAATGAAGTCTAGAAACAATAAAAATTAATTAGAAATTTCAGCAAGATTGCCAGATATAAGATCAAGATCCAGAAATCAATATTATTTCTATATACCAGCCACAACTTCTAAAATGTAATAATAAAAAATTATGTTCTGCAATAACAGCAAGAATTGTAAGTTACCTGGTGATAAACTTAATAAAAGATATTTAAGACATTTATAGAGAAAATTACTGAAAGCTATAAAATACCTAAACAAACAGAAGTATATCTGTTGCCTAGATGAGAATCCTTTCTAGTTTGTAGTTTTTAATCCTCTGATAGTGGATCTATAACTCAGAAAAATTTCAATTAAAAGCAAATATATTAAGTGAAACTTACCAAGTTGGTATGAAAATAAATAGCTAAACTAGTCAGAAATATATAAAGATATTAAAGTGGCAAATTAAACAAGCTATAAAGAATTATTGTAAAGTCAGTAATTTGGACAGTTTGCTCCTGGTGTAGTTTTATAAACAAATATATCAAAAGAATGTAGAGGACCCAGAATGGGGCATGTGTATATTTAAACTTAGTATGTAAGAGAATATATTTACAAATCAGTAGAAAAAGTAAATACGTTCAACAATACAAAAATAATTGTAGAACAATTTGTTATCATTGTAAGAAGTAAAATACAACTCTATCCTATTATAACAATATACTTAAATTAAGTTTCAGACATATTAAAGACTTGAACTGAAAATATATTCTTGAAAATTGCATTAAAAGTATAGAGAAGAATATTTATAATCTCAGGTTGGGAAGGATTCCTTAAGCAAAATTCAAAAAGCATAATCCATTAAGAAAAAGCAGTATAAATCGAAGTATTATTTTGGTCCATCAACAGGTACCTAAAAAAAGACATGCCAGAGACTTGGAGACAATATTTGCAAGGCAGTACAAGGTCAAAGATTTCTAATCAGATTATTAAAATAATTCCCAAAGAATAAATAGCCAAAGTAAACAAATGAAGAAGACCTTGAAAAGATGATTCACAGAAGTGGAAATATTAACTTAAAATTGATCATAAGAAGGTGCTCAAAAACATTAGTAATTGGGAAAAATCTAATTTAAAACATTATATCATTTCCTATCTATTAGATTTGCCAAAAAATTCAAGTTCAGTAAGGATAATGTATATGGGAACTCTCCTTACTGCTGGTGGGACTGTGCATTACTATGTCCACTTTGGGGAGAAATTTATCAGCAAGTGTAAAGGGAGATGTGCCTACAAAGGTCACATTTCCACTAATAAGTATATATCACTCACAAGTACACACTGAAATCTATACAAAGATTTTCACCGCATCATCATGGGTAATGCAAACATATTGGAAATATGCTTATCAAGAGTATGCATAAATAGCTGTGTGACTATGTATGAATGACACGTGTATTTGTGCTTTTCTTTGTATTTAGGTACATAAAATCAAGCTAATCATATCATTTTTGTGCCACTACCATATCAGGCAATATAAGATTAAATTTTTTTTTATTTTTTATTATACTTTAAGTTCTAGGATATATCTGCAGAATGTGCAGATTTGTTACATAGGTATACATGTGCCATGGTGGTTTGCTGCACCCATCAACCTGTCCTCTAGGTTTTAAGCCCCACGTGCATTAGGTATTTGTCCTAATGGCCTCCTTCCCCTTACCCTCCACCCCCTGACAGGCCCCAGTGTATGATGTTCCCCTTCCTCTGTCCACGTGTTTTCATTCTTCAGCTCCCACTTATGAGTGAGAACATGCGGTATTTGGTTTTCTGTTCCTGTGTTAGTTTGCAGAGAATGATGGTTTCCAGCTTCATCCGTGTCCCTGCATAGGACATGAGCTCATTCTTTTTTATGGCTTCATAGTATTCCATGGTGTATATGTGCCACATTTTCTTTATCCAGTCTATCACTGATGCGCATTTGGGTTGGTTCCAAGTCTTTGCTATTGTAAATAGTGCTGCAATAAACGTATGTATGCATGTGTCTTTATAGTAGAATGATTTCTAACCCTTTGGGTATATACCCATTAATGGGATTGCTAGGTCAAATGGTATTTCTGGTTCTAGATCCTTGAGAAATCACTACACTTTCTTCCACAATGGTTGAACTAATTTACACTCCCACCAACAGTGTAATAGTGCTCCTATTTCTCCACACCCTCTCCAGAATCTGTTGTTTCCTGACATTTTAATGATCACCATTCTAATTGGTGTGAGATGGTATTTCATTGAGGTTTTCATTTGCATTTCTCTAATGACCAATGATGATGAGCTTTTTTTCATATGTTTGTTGGCCATATAAATGCCTTCTTTTGAGAAGTGTCTGTTCATATCCTTCGCCTACTTTTTAATGGCATTGTTTGTTTTTTTCTTGTAAATTTGTTTAAGTTCGTTGTAGATTCTGGATATTAGACCTTTGTCAGATGGATAGAAAGCAAAAATTTTCTCCCCTTCTGTAGGCTGCCTGTTTAAGCAATGGGGAAAGGATTCGCTATTTAATATATGGTTCTGGGAAAACTGGCTAGCCGTATGCAGCAAACAGAAACTGGACGCCTTCCTTACACCTTGTACAAAACTTAACTCAAGATGTATTAAAGACTTAAATGTAAAACCTAAAACCAAAAAACCCTAGAAGAAAACCTAGGCAATACCATTCAATACATAGGCATGGGCAAAGACTTCATGACTGAAACATCAAAAGCAATTGCAACAAAAGCCAAAATTGACAAATGCGATCTAATTAAACTAAAGAGCTTCTGCACAGCAAAAGAAACTATCATCAGAGTAAATAAATTATTGTTTTATATAAGTGTGTGTTAAATTTTCCCTTTCTGAGTTTACTTACACTGGAGGCATCCAGATGCCAATTTGTGAAGACATTCAGGCAGCTCAGTGGGCACGCCCATAGGGCAAGGAACTGAGGTCACCAGCCAACAGGCTTATGTTATCCAAACTTTTTTGGGAAGTTGGTCTACCAATCCCAGTTAAGTTTATAGATGCCCATAGCACCAGCCTACATTTTGACTACAGCCTCCAGAAAAAGCCTAAATCAGAACCACTCAGCAAAGCCATTTCTAGATGTCTTACCCTCAGAAACTATTTGAAGTAATAGATATGGTGTTGGGGTACTTTATTTATTTATTTATTTATTTATTTATTTATTTATTTATTTAAGACAGTATCACTCTGTCGCCCCGGCTGGAGTGCAGTGGCGGGATCTCGGCTCACTGCAAGCTCCGCCTCCCAGGTTCACGCTATTCTCCTGCCTCAGCCTCCCGAGTAGCTGGGACTACAGGTGCCTGCCACCGCGCCTAGCTAATTTTTTTTTGTATTTTTAGTAGAGAAGGGGTTTCACCGTGTTAGCCAGGATAGTCTCGATCTCCTGACCTCGTGATCCACCTGCCTCGGCCTCCCAAAGTGCTGGGATTACAGGCATGAGCCACCGCGCCTGGTCCATATTGGGGTAGTTTTTCATGCGCCAAAACATCACTAATACTACCCTTTCTTCTTAGGTAGCTAAAGTATTTGATATCTATTCTTTGGTAAGTATTAATATATATCCTTGTAGGATATATAATGTTGCTTTTTATGCATAAATTTTGAATTTATGAAAATGCCACTGTGCTTTAGATGTAATTTTCTTTCTTTTCTTCATAGCATGTTTTAAAGACCAATTTGCTGAATGTAGATCTAGTATTTTTTTTCTCTAAATGCAGAAGACCATTCCATAATATGCATTCTTTACAACTTGTCTTCCTCTCTGACCAGTATTCTTAAGGGTATTAAGGGATTGCTGGGTCATAGAGCATATACTTTCCATTTTATTTTTGAAGACTGTCTTTATTGCCTCCCATCTCTTCTCTACCTCCATGAACAATTTTTAGTTAACTTACTATTTTATTAGATAATATATTGATAGAGGGCAATATTTAAAATATTCTAAAAGTTTAAGTCTCCATTATGGCTATTTACTTTTAGCCTCTCATTTTCTTTCTTGAGAGGGAAGTCAATACAATTAGCCCCTTGAAAATTCTATTAAAATGATTTGTTGTACAGGTAAGTGAATATGGGTTATTTACATTTTTACCCAAATACGCATTAAGCATTTTGTTCATGCAATACTTTTTTTTCACTTTAGAATTTCTCTTAAAGAAATTTCCACTTCATAACATAAAAGACTGAGTTCTATAAAAATACATAGTATACCATTGTTTAATTTTACCATATTTATTTAATAATGTCTCTCTAGATGGGTAAATTAGATTAATTCCTATCTATGATATTTCAGATAGTCTTGCAAATAATAATCTCAGATAAAAATTATTTTACATGTGTACAAGTTTATCAGTAAAATATAAATTAACAATATTTTTCTAGGTCAAAGGGTAAGTACGTTCATAATTCATGTAGATATTGGGAAAAACCTCCCTGTAGAGGTTGTACCAATGTACAAATTTATATCAGAGGGTCTCAATGCCTGGGATTACTATAATTTCTCATTGTCTTCCCTTGACTTCAAGCTTTTTTGTTTCTTTAATTTGCTCTGTGTGTGTGAATTTCCAACTGTGGCAGCCATGCTTACCAACTACATAGACATGTAAGTTTGGGTATATAAAGGAATTCCTCTTGTTTGACAAATTTGTACTTTCTGTTGCATTACAAGAATTGAAGTGTGAAAGCTCTTGCCAATTGCTATTTAAAAATAGATTTCTGTATAACCATTTATGTTAGAAATATTTGTCTTTATTATTTCAACATTCAGCCTCAGCCAAATATCATCATTGATGTAGGTCTTAACAAAGTGATGCTTTTATTGACTTTCTGTTTTTTTCAAAAGACCATGGATAAGGGCCCCTACCTTGTTAATGGTCATGATGCTTGAGCCTGCTACAATCTAGATGGCTTAAGTCTGTTCCACAGCAGTCATTCTGGGAGCACCATTCACCATCTTCCAGCCAGTTATTTGGCTTGCCATTGAGTTCGTTGAATCTATAGGTTTTCGACATATTCTATGAAATCCTTTTGTTTGGTTTACTCTTTTTTTGATTGGGGACACAGGGTAAAGCACATCCTCAAGTAGCTTCCTCAGAAAGAATACACAGAAGGTTATCAAACAGACAACCTATATAATAGGAGAAAATTTTTGCAATCTATCCATCTGACAAAGGTCTAATGTCCAGAATCTACAAGGAACTTAAGCAAATTTACCAAAATAAAGCAAACAGCTCCATTAAAAAGTGGACAAAGTTCATGAACAGAAAATTTTCAAAAAAAAGACATACATGTGGCCAACAAACATATGAAAAACCTCAGCATCACTGATCATTAGGGAAATGAAAATCAAAACCACAAGGAGATACCATCTCACTCCAGTCAGAATGGCCATTATTAAAAAGTCAAGAATCAACAGATCCTGGTGAGGTTGCAGAAAAAAAGGAACACTTTTACACTCTTGGTGGGAATGTAAATTAGTCCAACCATTGTGGAAGACAGTGTGATGTTTACTCAAAGATTTAGAACCAGAAATACTATTTGACCCAGGATTCCCATTACTGAGTTTATACCCAAAGAAATATAAATTATTCTATTATAAAGATACATGCATGTGTATGTTCATTGCAGCACTATTCACAATAGCAAATACATGGAATCAACTCAAATGACCATCAGTGGTAGACTGGATAAAGAAAATGTGGTACATATCCACTGTAAAATACTGTGGAGCCATAAAAAGGAATGAGATCATGTTCATTGCAGAGACATGGATGAATCAGGAAGCCATTATTGTTAAACTAACTCAGGAACAGAAAACCAGACACTACATGTTCTCACTTATAAGTGGGAGCTGAACAATGAGAACACATGGATACAGGAAGGGGAACAACACTCACTGGGGTCTGTCGCAGAGCCAGAGTGGGAGAGCAATAGGAAAAAGAGTTAATGCATGCTGGGCTTAATACCTAGGTGATGAGTCAATAGGTGCAGCAAAACATCATGGCACACGTTTAACTATGTTACAAAACAGCACAACCTGCCCATGTACCTCAGAGCTTAAAAAAATATCAAACTTAAAGAAAAGATAGCATATAATTTGGTTAGGTAAAAAATTTCAAACTGGAAATTATTTTCCTACAGAATATTATTTATTTGTCTTTTGGCTTCCAATATTAGAATTGAGATATCCAAAAATCATTACAATTAAATTTTTTTTAATTTGACCTCTTTCTATTTCTTTTATTACCCAGAATTAGAACAGAGAAACAGAACCACTAAGAGATCAATATTAAGGGAATGTTCTGAAGTCATTGTGTGACTTGATTCACTGTAGTCTCTGTAAAGGTGTTGTTGTCTCCCTGTCCAATGCTGGAACTTGAGTCCTTTAGGTTTAGCAAACACTACTGATAGATGTGATTGCTTATCTGCTGGGATGACCTAAACTTTCATTTCTGAGGGGTGTAAACTGTTACCAGTCCTATTCGATTGGATTTTTGTAGCTTACCTTTGTCTTTACTCACTGAACATAAGAGTAATAAGAGGCATTCTAGAGGATCTGTGGCATTCCAGGCACATTTTTTTTTTTTACACTCACTATATAGCAGTGACCCAATTTCCCCTGGGTAATCAGAATCAAACACTGTAGCAGTACCATAACCTCCATCTTTGCTCATTGATTCATCACATGTGGAACATAGTGTGTCAGGTGGCAATCTTAAGTTCCAGTTCAATGGAATAATTGCTTTAACCCCAGAGGGAAACATTTTTCTCTTTAAAACAAAGTGTCCTAGACCATAAAAGCCCAAAATTTTGGAATAGGAAGCAAAAAAAATTGCTAGTGGATCACTACGGTAAATAGTAAAAGTAGCTACTCTCATTTTCACTCCTGGTTTACTACATCTATGAATCTTGGTTATGGGGGAAATAGCACCACTTATTCAGCTATGATTTAGAGTACATTCTGCAACCAGAGTGCCACCTAGCTGGTGTTGTAACTAAGCCATTCTACTATTCAAGCCAGCTGCTTCAGCATGATGGGTGATATGGTTTGGCTGTATCCCCACACAAAATCTCATCTTCAATTGTAATCTCCCAAATCCCCATAATCCCCACATGTCAAAGGCGGGACCAGGCAAAGGTAATTGGATCATGGGGGTAGTTTTCCCCATGCTGTTCTTGTGATAGCGAGTGAGTGTCATGAGATCAGATGGTTTTATAAGCGTCTGGCATTTCTCCTGCTTGCACTCACTTTGTCCGGCAACCCTGGGAAGAAGGTATCTTCTTCTTCTTTGCCTTCTGCCGTGATTGTAAGTTTTCTGAGGCCTCCCCAACAATGCAGAACTGTGAGTCAATTAAACCTCTTTTCTATATATTACCTAGTCTCGGGTATTTCTTCATAGCAGTGTAAGAATGGACTAACATAATGGGGAACAACAACAACAAAAAAAAACAGTGACTTCATGAACATGAGCCCATTGCCACACTTCATTTGTTGTGAAATGAGATCTTCAGAAAAAGCGTGCTATGTGGAATACCATAACAATGAATAAGATGTTAAGTCCACAGATGGTAGTTAGGCAGATGCCTTACAGGCAATTAAGGCAAATTCATATGCAGAATAAGTGTCAATTTAAGGAAGATACTGCACTTTCTATGACAGAAATTGTAAAAAACAATCAACAGTCACCAACTCTGTGGCTGATCCCTTTGGGGAAAGGTGCTATACCAGAAAGTTCAAAGTTGCTATCTAATGTTGGCAGATGGGCCACTCAGAAAAGAGTGTAGCCAGATAGGTCTTGGTCAGTAGAAGTCCATGTTTCTGAGTCTACCCATAACCATCACCCATGCCAGCATGAATACTTGTTCATGAGGAATAGAACATGCATAAAAAATGTGGTACTTTGTTTACATTTTAAAGTTTTAGCTTTTACATTTATATCAATAATCCATACAGAATGTACATTTATATACAGTGTAAGGAATGTATCTATATTTTACTTCTTTTATAGGTAATGAATTTCTTCAGTGTAATGCCACTTTTATCAACATGTCTATTTCCATATATGTCAGACCAGTTCTTGACTTTCTTATCTGTTTCTTTGTTATTTTTTTGTCACTGACAATATTATAATGCATAAATTGCTTTCCATCTCTTACAGAAATTTTTTCAATAGAATTCTTCTTTTAATTTTTGTTGACAGTTTTTTCTTTACCCTTTCATATGAATTTTAAAATTAGATTTTCATACATCACAGACTCAGGTAGACACATACACACCTCCCTATTGGAATTTTCATTAGAATCCCTTTGAATTAATAAACCAAATTATAAAGCATTGATCATTATATGGACTTCTCTCATTCACAAATATGACAAATTTATCAATTTATACATAGTCTTTTTCCATATATTTTAATACAACTTTTAAAAATCTCTTATCTGTGAGATTTTTAAAACCTCACAAAACTTTTTAAAATCTCATTTTTTTGTATGTCCTGTAAAACATCACTTGATATTTTATACCACTTTATTATATTACAAATATTATCTTTGCTTCTTTTGTATATTCTAATAAGTATTTGTTACTGTAAAGGAAGAAAAACAGTACAGTGTACTGTCCATGACGGCCATTATATTAAGTAATATTGTCAGGATGTATAAATATCAATATCAGGAT
Source organism: Homo sapiens (assembly GCF_000001405.40). NCBI lineage: Eukaryota > Metazoa > Chordata > Mammalia > Primates > Hominidae > Homo > Homo sapiens. Next base: position 133,923,178 of record NC_000004.12, read on the forward strand.
AACAATGGTCAAGTAACCATGGCCAATCTCTCTAACTGTACATGGTTTGGCTTAATAAATTAGAGGTAATAACGTGTATTCAATTTCAATTGATATAACAATCATGTAGTACAATATATAGAATCTCTGCATATATTACAATATGATGTACAAAGTAAAGTGAATGTAATATTGGTAGTTTGCAGAATCCAACTCACAGTTGTTGAGTTATTGAGTGCACACTATGTCCCAGGTACAGAATTTTGGATAACAAATAAAAGCCAAAGAAAATAAACAACAGCAAAAATTTATAAAAGAGGATAACAAACTTTTCGACTTAAGAGACTTACATTCTAAACATTCTCAATGATTTAGCTAAGTGTCCCACTAAGCATTTATTTCTATTCATGACTTCTAGGGCTTTCACCTTACAATCCTTCCCACAGTTGATCAATGATTTTGTGAGTCTGCTGCCATGTAAAAGTTCTTTAAAAAGTGAGGAGAAACAAAATACCAGATTTAGATAGGGGTATTTTAAGATAAGGTCACACAATAGAAATAAAATGTTAACTTAGTCATCAACTATGTTATCTAAAGGTGGACCAAATCTAAAATATTTCAGTAGTTATTTAACTCATAACCTCCTATATCTTTCTTTCTTTTCTCTCTCCTTGATTAAATGTCGTTTCACTACATGAGATGTCTCTATAACAGACATTATATGCTCTATCTTTACATAGTCTCTAAATTTAGTTTTATAATAATTACATAGTCTCTAAATTTAGCTTTATAATCACTAAAGCTTTCCATAAGTTATAGTTCTGAATCTTCAGTTTTCTTTGACAAGGTCTTTCCTGTTTTTACATAGCAATAACTTCAGTATCTCTACATGATAGCCAAATCTCTTCCTCAAATTTCAGAAATTACTCACGGAATACCTGACACAACCACAAACGTCCCATAACAATTTCAATATTAATGTGTCCAAAGTCTAAACTCATTTTAATTCCTTTAAAAGTATTTCATATTCAGTGTTTCTTACTATCATCCATCATCCTTTAGGCACTCAAGTCAGGACCTTGATAGTCTAAGCGTACCTTTCTGTCTCTTGATTCCAAAATGTAGCTTATTGCAATCGTGTGGGTATTAAATTCTAAATACCTTCTTCACACATTTCTATCTATCTCATCCCCTTACCAGAGACTTATTGACAACCCCCTTCAAATGTTGTTTGATGTTAGTGTTGTTTACAGTAACACTAATACCCTATGGTTTCTCTGACACCTTCCTGCACTACATCATTTGACCTTTACCACTGCTATTAAGAGTTTGATGTGCACTTTTCACCTTTGTCTTACCTTATTTTGATTTTTCAGACTTTCCAGGAGACTTAAAACTCTTTATGATTGAGTCCAGCAAACCTGTCCAGAATCACCTTACTATTCTTACCTAAGCAAACTCTATCATTGCCAGAATAAACTACTTGATGCCCTGCACATCTAGTGATCCATTCCATATACTATTTCCTCTACATGGATTGCACTTGCCTCTTCTCTCCTAACAAATTCTACAAAGTGTTTTGCCATTTATTAAGTCAGAGTTCCTCCTACCTGTCTCCATAATGTTTTCCTTACACCTCAAGAAGAGCACTAAGATTTCATTTTATTACTTCTGTTTGGACTCCTAGATAATGTGCATCATTGCAGGGTTTTATATTCTTCTTTAGCCTTTTGCATACTGCTTTGAATATAAAGATATTTCTCTAACTTTACTATATCAACATGTATTTATTGTATTTTCTATTACATACCATGATTTTTTTAATTGTATATAAAAAATTAGCTCTCTGTCTATCTTGGTCTATAAGTATGAATATGTGTTTACATGAGTAACAAATGGCTTATATGATAATATAGAAATAAACAAGATTACTCTAATGTAAATCTCATTTTGGTCCCATTCTAGGAAAGACTTTACAAAACAAACACAAGACAAAATAGGTATAGAAAAATGAGTTTCTAAATGTCTTAAGATACATTGTAAGCTCTACGTATATGACAGGTAAAAGCGAGCATTCAGAACATCTGGCCTCTCTCATATGGCATTACTTACTGTAATGTGTATAAATAGAAACAGCAAGAAAGAGTGTGGCACATTCATTTTTGCATTCTTTGCTAATGCAAGTCTAGCTGATATTTATACCTCAGCGATTTTTGAAAGAAGATTAATGACATGAATATTTGTAAAGAAAGTGTCTATGTGACCAACATTGAAGCTGCTCTTGGATATCAGTGTCATAGTTTTTTTGCAATGGCTGCCTTTTTGCCACACAACCTTATTTTATTGAGGTGACAGGCTGTCACATGTAAGGTTTATTTCTATTACCTCTTTTGCTGCTTTAATTCACAGTCTATTTTCAGTGTCTTTCTTTCCTTTCATATGTTAATTTTGATTTGAACCAATTAACATATCTAACAAATCCTAGAATTAATTTTTCAATTCAGATTGAGCCACATATTTTTGCTGAAATATATTAGAGAATTTTTTGATAGCTCAGTTTTCAATAATTCCCCACATTTTGGAAGAAGGTTATGCCTATAGTTACTTTGTTGTTTCCTGACTTCCAGAGTTACTTCTATGTCTTCCTTCAGTGTCCAATGTTAGGAATTTGATTTTAATGACAACAATTGGAATACATTCTTGTTAAACTCTGTATCTTAAGGCAATCTCTGATATTTGCTGAACAATCAGATTTTTTCCAGAATATGGCTGTGAGCTCAAATGAGACAGTCTCCCTTTAAGTCATATGAGTGGAAGTATGAAGGAAAGTGAGAAATAAATTGGGGCTGGAAAATATGGTTACATTTTTAAAATGAGAGTATCTGAGATGTCAAGGTTGGGAGGAATAAATAACTGTACTTTGCTTCACATAATACAAATACTATTTTATAAAATTTTGATAAACAACTACACAAGGCAGAAATCATTGAGTTGCATAGAAAACCTTTTGGGACCATTTGGAATTAGCAGGGATTTTACATTTACCTTTTAGAGTTTTTTTTTTCTTGCAAAATTGCAAAGAGTTTAACGACATACTAAGTCAAAATCTGCAGGTTATAGAATTGCATTTCCCTTACATCAGCTTTTAGCTTAGTTATTAAGCATCCTGCATCATTGTGGTTTTGTTCAGATGTGAATAAAAGCTAATGTTTATTGAAAATTCTATTATTCCCTGAACAATTTAAAGATTCACAAATCTACAATGTAAAACATAACAAAGCATAACAGACAATGCTCTGTTCACCATCCAGATCTTAATTACATCAGGTGAAATGTGGTCAATTGTAAACTACAGAAAACCCAACTCAAAGTGACAAAAGCAGATGTAAGTACTTGCCTCACATCCACACCAATGGGGTTCACCAAGATGGGCTTTTCCATCTCACAAATAACTAAAGAGCCTGGATTAATTTAGATCAAGTGACCACTCAATATAACTGAAAGACTCTCAGCTCTGCCACTTCATCCACAGGCTGGCTTTTCCTGTAGTAGTGAAATCGATGCCACTATTTAAGATTTTACATTCATTTTCCACACTGTCTAAAAGGGAAAATTTTATATCTTCCAACAATTACCACCATCTGGGCTTGATTTTGTTTAGAACAATTTAGGTTCAGCTTTTGAAGCAACAACTTTTGCAAGAGGAGGTGCCAATCATGACCCATTCTTGGACATGGAAGATCGAATCAAACCCACTCATCCTACAGTCTGGGAAACAATGACACAGGAATAGATGATGAGGAGGCAGTCAACAATGCTCACTGTATTCCTATAACAATGTTATCTTTAAAAATAAGTCATTGTAAAATTCTATAGTAATGGCCAATTAAAAATCCTATACATATTTTACTATAGATTATTTTCAAACTACAAAAGCAATAGTTATTGCAATAAAACAAACCACATACACATGCAGATAAATAATCTGCACATTTCCTTCTATGCAAACCTTCATCCCTGATGATTGATGATAGTCAATCATCAATTTAAAAACAACCTCCATGTCGATCAGAGATATTTGACTAAACATTTTATTGAGTTGAGTGCATAATGAATACTAATTTTTCTGAAGAACAAAGAAAAGTACCTTGTCTTGTTCCTTTTTACAAATGTAGTCTATTACTTCTATGACTCTTTTATTGAGAAGTAAAACCCACATAGAGAAAAATTGAATAGGCCAGGCGTGGTGGGTCATGCCTGTAATCCCAGCACTTTGGGAGGCTGAGGTAGGTTGATCATCTGAGGTCAGCAGTTTGAGACCAGCCTGACCAATATGGTGAAACTCCATGTCTACTAAAAATACGAAGATTAGCCGGGCATGGTGGCACATGCCTGTAATCCCAGCTACTTGGGAGACTGAGGCAGGAGAATCGCTTGAATCTGGTAGGCGGAGGTTGCAGTGAGCCGAGATTGCCACTGCACTCCAGCCTGGGCAACAGAGAGAGACTCTGTCTCAAAAAAAAATTGAATAAAATATGAGTTCAGTGACACACATTGTTTTAAAAAATAACTCCTCCCAACCTCCCAAAAGAAAACAAAATACTGCTATATCGTCATTATCTAAGATAAGAAACGAAACATTTTGATAGCTCCAGAAACATTCAACTTCTTCCTACCAAACATAATTCCATTACTCTCCTTAAAGAAAACCACTATGAAGGCTTACAGTATTCACACCTGTCTTTGTAGGATTACACTTGAATATCCATCTCTGTATGTTAGTGTTTCATTTTGCCTGCTTTCAATTTTTTAATAAATAGAATTGTACAGTAAGTGTACTCTTGTCTGATTTCTTAACTCATATACTTAGAGATTCACCCACTGAAAACATGCGTTGCCATAGTTAATTCATTTTTCATGCTGCATAGCATTCTGTTAAAGGAATATACCATATTTCATTTACCTATTCAATTACTGGTCAATGTTTTATTTGTTGTCAGTTTGGGGCTATTATGAATAATACTGTTTTTCATAAATGTGAATATCCCACAGTGAAAATGTGCAAAAAATTATGTTATAGGTCCAGTAATGAAATGGGGTAGGGGAACTTCCAAGTATTGCTGTGAACTAATGACTATCTAAATAATATTTTTATCAGGGCATACTGGTCTGTCAGGGCTGTTTATTGTAAATAAACCCACAGTTTGTGGTCTTATAATCCATAGCTTTGATGAAAAGTTAATCATGCAGTTTGTCCAGCTATGATTGGACAAACGAGTTACTTCACATAAAACTGTGACAAATATTAGTTATTTTTATGGTTTGGTAGCATCATAAAGTGCTGAATATCCAGATTCACATGCTATACTAATCTTATTCAGCTCTGAGCTATACTAATAATTAACCAAGTACACTAAAAGGGAACCACAACAATGCTACATATTGCTAGCATGAACTAGTAGCAATATATGAAAAAGGAGAAATTCTAGACTAATTGACTCTCCATGATAACTTGTACCATACACAGTTGGCACTGTGAACCCAAAACATGTCCTGTGGAGAAAAGTAACCTTAGGAAGCTGTCTATGACAAGCTCAAGGCCCCACCATTATTGATGTAGCATTGTTGTGGTTCCCTTTTAATGTACTTGGTTAATTATTAGTATAGCTCAGAGCTGAATAAGATTAGTATATCATGTCTGGATAGTCAGCACTTTATGATGGTACCAACAAAATAAAAATTACTATTATTTATCACAGTTTTATATGAAGTAACTTGTCTTATATCCAAAACAACTCTGGCTTTAGGACTACTGTAATTCCTTTCCCAATGTGTACCTTCTTGCGAAGAATAATCTCTAGTTATAATATGAGTCAGTCTAGATAGCATGCTATTTTGAATTTGTGTTCACTCTCTGCAATGTTTTTACTCTAAAACATACTATTATTACCCAGATATAAACAATTTCCAAACATTCCAAATCTAGCACGTACAAAATCATGCCAAAATATGACCCATTTCTAATAGTTACTGAACATATTTATGACATGGCAGAGGTGTCGTAGCATGACATCACTATACCGTGTGATCTGCAGTGCTGTGGCCTGAAAAAAAAATAAAGGACTCTGTTGCGATTCTGGGATGTTTTGTAGATTCCCTTGTTTTGAACTGGAAACAAATCTTCAGGTGTCCCACCTGGGCAATACATGATCTGCCTCTTATGATGAATGTTATTCATATCTGAACTCACCTTTCTGAGAAATTGATGCTACTAAGTATTGTGTTTTAGTTGTGGGTTTTTTTCTTTATTCTCATTTAATGTATATTAAATTTTAATACTGTGACTATAAGCATCAAAGTAATATTTATCTTATGATTACTCAGAAATAAGTTCATTAGTGAACTTTAATATCAAAATATGCAAAAAGTTTTTCTCATTTTTAAACTATTTGATCTTGTAGTGCACTATAAGAGGCATATTGTGGCTGTAAGATTAATGATAGACATAAGGCCCACTCAAACATCTCACAGAACCTACCCTAGTGTCACTTAGCAGTATGATGCAACCTAGCCTGGGAATTTCCAATCCTGACCCAGGGATTTACAGGGGAAAAGATTACTTCAGCACAGATGCAACTCTCATAAACCGTAGAATCAAAGCTCACTCTTACAAGAATTCCAAATCTAGCACATACAAAATTGTGCCAAAATGTGATCCATGTTTAATAGTTCTAATAGTTATTGAACATATTCATAATATGGAAGAGATGCTTAAGCACCTGCTACCTGACACAGACTGACTACTGCTATAATAATGTGTATTCTCAGGACAAACTCTGAGATTGTCTCCAAATGGAGACCCTCTCATCATCTGGCCCCTGACTATATCTGGCTTGTGACATCAGCACACTCCTGCTATCCATCTTGTAAGACTGCTGCCATAACAAACTGCTTGAACAACTGAATATGTCTAAGAATTATGTTTGATATGAATCAGATCAAAGGGAAAAGGTAGCCCCAAACATGACAGATCTCTTTCCCAGGAAACCTATATTGTCATCATTATCATTGATGCTAATAACTACTTGATATTAAGCACTTAATATTAAGTGCTAAGCACTGTATTAACTGCTTTATGTACATTTGATATTTATAATAGTTCTGCCGCTCAGGCCAATGTGGTAGCCACTAGCCATATGTGGCTATTTAAGTTTAAATGAAATTAATTCAAATTAAATAAAAATTAGTCTCACTAGCCACATTTCTATTACTTAATATTGGCAGACAGAACAGATATAGAGTATCCCCATCATCACTGAAAAGTGTATTGCATAGCCCTCTTTGAGACAGAAACAATATATAACCTCAAATTTCAACTATGGAGTGTCTGACTTCCAGAACTACGGCCAGATATTTCACATTATATTGTACATTTTATGAAAGCAGAAACCATGTCTGTTATGTTTGCAACTGTTTTGGGTTATTTTCTTAGCAGAATGATTATGCATGGTAGATCAGTCATGAAATGGTGACAGAAGGAATGTCTGTTTGAGTGAATGAAATATCAAGATAAAACATTTGAAGCTAATTACATATACAGCAATTCTATATATAATTATTCAATATCTGATTCAGTGTATGACCCTGTTACAATTTTTATTTTTTAATACAGAGATGATAATTCATATATGTTTTATGTTTCTACCATTTGAGATTTGTTATGTTACTCTATATCCTTAAATTAATCTCCCCATTGTACATGTTATATTTTTGTTGTTCATTTTGCATATTGGTTAACTTTTTAAGATTTATTCCATCAAAATAGCAATCAATTTAGTCTGAATGACATTTGCCTTTTGAGTATGACAAAAATAAAAATGAACTAAATATTTCATTACTATTCCCAATGGATTTTACTGATGTATTTTCAATACTCATTTTATTGTTATGACATTGTTTTATCAATTTACAAAGTATGTAGACTTCCTACTATTTTCCCCTGACTATTCACTGTATCATCCAAATTTGAATTATGCAAACTTTACTTTCTACTATGTTTCTGTAGTGCACTGAAAATGGCATAAATCTTTTATTTGTATTCAGTTCCTCTAGAGATTCAGCAATTTCACAGGTACTTTTATTCATTGAATGGTGTTCAGAGAACAGTTGTGAATATTGCGAACTTTTCCTTCAGTGCTTGCATAGAATTCATTTTGATAACTAACGTGCATCTGAGAATTTTTTTTTGGCTTATGTATTTTCTTTTTCGCCTTCACCTTGATAGACAGCTTTCAACAGCTGTCAGTCAGCAGTTTTCTGTACACTGTGGAATATTTCATTCACATTTGTAAAAATTAATGAAGGCAAGAAAACATTACTTGTAAATTATTTTAATATGTAGGAATAAATTAATTCTACAGGAGAAAAATTTCAACAAAATTCTATTTAATATGCCTTGTTTGTGGTTACCGAAAAGTGTAACCAAAGGTAAGACCTCAATCTGCTCTCTCAGTGTGAAGATAATACCAGCTAGAATAAATTGTTTGTGTATCTGGATTTGTGTTGTGTAAGGACTAAAGTTAAGGCTCAATATTATGTACTGCCTTGACATCTGGTAAAATTGAAAGAGCTTCAAACGGCCTAACCCCAGTACCCCCCTCTCCTTCTGCCCCCATGGGTAAGGTTTCCTAGTCAAACAACCCTCCTTGTCTGGGGGACCAAATGTAATTCCTGCTTTTCCTTGAGTAATGGATCTCAATTCTCTGGTGGCCTACAGAATGATTCAAATAAGCTAATCACATCTCTCCGTTAAATACAAGGGCACACCATCCTCATCACACTAGAAAGCCTGTCCCCTCCCACAGCCCCTGGTTTACCCTGTTCCCAAGGACAGCCCCATGTGGCTACTGCATGGCATGTGGTGTCCTCTTCACTTCAGGCTGTGCATATATGTGGCTAATAATCTGCTGTCACCCTTACCTGTCTGATGTTGTATGTCCTGTGCTAGGCCATTCACATAACCCTAGGGCAGGAATTCCTCCCATAACAGTAGGATGAAACAAAGGAGTTTATGACAATTTAATGTTTTGTTGCCTGCCACATGAAAAAGTATTTGCATACTCAGAAACAGAAGCATTATTATCTGCACCAAATGAAAATACACTGCAATCTTTTCATAGCTAAAAAAAACTCGCTAGATCACTAAAATTATAAACCTTTCTAATATTTGCTAGATCACTAAAATTATGAACACCTAAAAGACAGTGACTGACTATAACTTGAAGTAACTTAGAGTCTAATGAAAGACACAGAGATATCAACAGGAAAATCAACAAGATGATAAGCAGTGCTATGTGATCACATTTTTGAATCTGGTTTTCTCAGTATGCTGTGAGGAAGCAGAAAAGGCATATTTCCTGGCACACAATATGCATTCAGTGTGGTTTTGAGGGGAAAAAAAAAGTGAAGGACAAAACATAAGCTGGCTAAATCAGAAGGAGGAATGAGAAAAGGCTTCTTTTAGGAGCTACCAGAAACAAAGAAGGAACTCCAAGACTTAGCAATTTGGAGCTGATAGCATGCTGGCCCAAGATACAGGCTTTAGGAATTGAGATTGAGTTTTTAATACATTCTTGTTTAAAAGCTATGTCACCTTGATCTTATACAGTATGAAGAAGTAGAATGAGCTGAAGACCTTGTCAATGTACATGAAAAGCAACTTGATTAAATTAGTTATCAAGTAAATACAAAATAACTTACAACTGAGACAACAGTTCATATCCATCATATTCATGTAATTCAAAATGTATTCTAAGTATTGTCTACATCTAAAGGATGAAAGAAAAGGAGAACTCTCATGTATTATAAATTGTTTCTAACCTATTGTGGTTAAGGATAGTGTATATTAAGTAAAACATCTTAGGAGAGGAAATTCTATAGAATAGTAAGTTAGAAAGTGTCATATTTGCTTTTTTCTTCTCTCTTGGTGAATAAAATCATTTAGAAATATCTGTGGTTATATTAAGTGATATTATTATCTAGATTTAGCTAAGAGTCACAAATGGATAAATGACAAAATATTTTTGCCACAAAACCTTAAATTACTACTAACATAAGATTAAAAGTACAATCTAGAAATGATTGGAAAGGATAATCAACTCTTACATGATTTCAGCCAAAAAGTGAATTATCAAGATTATTTTAAACATGAATTCACTTCTGTGATATTCATTGCTGGGCCAGAACCTAAGTGTGTATTTTGACTTACCCTTTTGGAAAGCTTGAAATCATCAAAAGTAAATATATTTTATCAACAATTTTGTTCTCTATTATATAAATATTTATTTTATAGTATATTAATTTTAAAAATGCACATATATTAATATAGTGGGGGAAGAGAAATGTTTGAGTGTATTGATAAGAGAATCACTGAAATAATAACTTTTGTCATTTCTACTCAATAGGGAATCACCTTGGGAGGAAAACAGAAGAGCTCAGTGGAGATGTTGAGAGAAAAATGTAATGCTAGTGGAGGGGAGCAAGATTTGATCTGTTCACCAAGACTGAGGACTGACTCTTGGTATAATATGGGAGGAGCAGAAGCATAAAGGATTTAGAATTTAGGACTTAAATAAGGTTATGCTTCCAAAATTATTTTAAAAGTTATTTATTTTCTGTTTGAATTTCTGCTCTAACAATCCCTAACCCCAACCTCCAGGGAGATAAATCTGATAAACAACAGCACAATGTTTTTATTATGCATGACCATTAGAGGTACAAACCTAAAAGTTAATATCATTTGTTTCACTAAAACATAGAACCAGCCCTAAGAAATGTCTGGAGAATATGATTGATTCAGAAACAATGAACTCATCTGGAAAAAGAAATCCAGGAGAGAAGCTTGAAAACTCTGAGTCAGAGAAGAGGGAAAAGGAAGGAATGGAACAGCATTATTAAATAGAGAAAAGAGAGAAAGAAAGGAGAAATAAAATGAGTAATTATAATTTGTTGACAGTCTTCTATGCCAAGCAGAGGGCATAATGCTTAATATAGGTAAAGAAATCTCAGTTTGAAACTTCACTGAGTAGATGGCTAACTCAGACTACATTCTCCATAGGATTTTCTTTTTTTACACATGATCTACGCTAAAAATTTTATGAGAAATGAAGAGAAAAGAAACAAAGCAACACAAAATAAAACAACAAAACCTCACAGGGTGGAGTAGGGGTGTAAAGAAAATAAATAGAATAATTCCAGTCTTATTTCAATCACATTTAATCAAATATTGCTTGCCTACTCAATTTATGGAACACCAAATCTCTATTTCTATATCTTTGTTTTAACCCTGTCTGGTTTAAATGTTAAAAACAGAACAAAGTGCACAACCCCCCATTAGAAGAAGAAACAGGGGAAAAGACTCAGAGGAGGAGCAAGGCATGGAGGGAGAAGTGTAGCAAAGACAACAGCTTCCTGAACTCCACATTCTTCTCTTTCCTCTGGACTCACAGCTGGACCACATAACCTTCCCAGCTTTCCTTCCCACCTTTTCCAAACGTGATTGGGTTTTGGCCAATGGAATGAGGGTGGAAGAGAGGGTCCCACTATCAGGTCTAGCCCATAAAAATCTCACAGAAAATTCTCCTCCATACTCTTTTTCCTTCCACGAACTGAATGGAAACGACTTCGGCGAACTTGGAAGTAATGTATTGAAAATCGGAAACTCTCTATCAGCCTGAATCTTTTATCCCTCTTCACCATCCTATCTACCCAGAAACCCTTGCAAATGTTAGGTAACCACAAAATAAATGTGTATGTGTTTAAGCAAAAACAAAACAAAACAAAAAGCACAGCCAATGTTGTTAATAGAAAAATAATTTAAAAATAAATAAAAAATGTCCACTTAAGGACAGACTTGATGAAATTTTAGCATCAATTTTCTTCTTCTTCTTCTTTTTTAATTTTAGAGATGGAGTCTCACTCTGTCACCCAAGCTGAAGTGCAGTGGTGTGATCATAGCTCACTGCAACCTCGAACCTACCTTTCGGTCTCGCAATTAGCTAGGATAATAGGTGAACACCACCATGTCTGGCAGAAATTCTGTATCATTTTATGTTCCAAAGCTGTCCTAACTTTGTATAGCTACTTTTACAGTTCTTTAGTTGTAGCAGGCCAGGTTGTCCCCGAGTCCCTGGAAAAGTAACACACTTTGACTAAGTATTTTTTGCAATGCCCTCCTCAGGCCCCTTACATGTCTATGCCTATACCTACCTCCTCAGGGGCACTTCTTTTGTCTGATGAATATCCTTTGGGTCATAATTAAGCATGATACTTTCTTTTGGTAAAAAATAATAATAATATTCTTACCATATTTTCTTTTTTTAACTTTTATTTTAGATTCAGGCCTACATGTGAAGTTTTGTTTCATAGGTAAACCTGTGTCACAGGGGTTTGTTGTACAGATTATTTCATTGTTCAGGAATTACGCCCAGTACCCAATAGTTCTCTTTTCATAACTGTAGGCTCACGTGCAGTTGTAAGAAATTAGGCTGTGTATATCCTTTATCCAGTTTCCTTCAATACATCTTGGAAAACTGTAGTATAATATTACAGCCAGAATAATGACATTGATACAGTCAAGATGAGAATAATTCCACACTACAGGGATGCCTAATGGTACCCTGTTATAGCCATGCCCACTTCCCTTCCTGCCCCTACCACCTCCTTAGCCCTGGTCAACCACTAATCTGTACTCTATTTCTATAATATTGTAATTTCAAGAATGCTCTGTTTATCAAAATTCTATCTTTAGCAAAAAAATAATAAATCTAGCAAAAAATGTTATCTTTTGGGATTGGCTTTTTTCACTCAGCATACTTCTCTGGGGATTGAGTAAGACGTTTTTGTGTGCTAATAATCCATTCCTTTGTACTGCTGAGTTGTAACTAATAATACCCATGTATCACTGTTTGTTTATTAACTTTTCACCCCTTGAAGGACATCTTTCCATTTTTTAGCTGTTACAAAGAAAGCTGTATAAACATCTGTGTACAGGTATTTTGAGGGAACATAAGTTTTTGTTTTGGGTAGGATAAATGCCCGTGAATGAAATTCTTGGAATATGTGGTAGTTGTATGATTAGTTTCTTAAAGAAAATGAAAATCACTTTTACTAAGTGGCTGCACCATTTTACATTCCAAGTAGCAAAGTGTGAGTGATAAATTTATCTGCATCATTGTTTGAGGTTGTTTGTATTTTTTATTTTAGACCTTCTTGTTTCTTCAAAAGTGTTTAGTCATTTTAGTTATTTAGACTTTCCGTATAAATTTTAAAATAAACTCGAATATTTATTTTAAAAAATTCCTGAGATTGTGATAAAAATGGTGTTAAATCTCTACATCATTTTTGGAAAATTGACATTTTTGCTATGTTGAGCCTTCTAATCCAATAACATTACATATGTATATATATATATTCATAATTTATTTAGTTTTTAATTTCATTCTTCAGTGTTGTGTAGTTGACAACATTTAATTACTCTATGTGTTTTGTCACACAAGTATTTTATTTTTGAATCACTGTAAATGATATATGTTGACCTCGATGCCCATGGGTTCATTGCTAATATATATAAAAATAACAGATTTTTGTATGTTCATCTTGTCTTTTGTGAACTTGTTGAACTCTCTTACTACTCCAAGGAGTTTTTTTTATAGAATCCTTTTCACTATCTTGTCATCAGCAAATAGGGGCGATTTTATTTCTACCTTTCCTATATTTATGTCTTTCATTTCTTTATTTGCCTGACTCCCAGGATAGACTTCCAGCACTGTATTGAATAAGAACGGAAGAAAGAATTTGTTCTTTCTTACATAGGAGTAACCTCTCAAACTTTCATCATTGTAAATATGTTAGCTGTAGGTTTTTAAAGATTTCCCCTATCAAATTGAGGAATTTCTCCTCTATTTGTATTTTTCTAAGAGTTTTTTGATAGTAGGTGTTTACCTTTTTCTGCACAAGTTGATCTAATAATGAAATTTTTCTTCTTTATACCATTAATATGATAAATTATATTGATTAATTTTTGAATACTGAAAGTCTTGCAACTCTGGAATAAACTCAGTTGGTCATGATGTATTCCTCTTTTTACATATTTTAAAATTTTAATTACTGATGTTTTGCTAAGAATTTTTTCATCTGTATACATAAAATAACTATCGGTCTATAGATTCTTATTTTGTGCTATATTTGGTTTGGTATGAGAGTAATACTAATTTCATAAAATAAAGTGAGAAGAGTTTCTTTATTTTTTTTATTTTCTAGAAGAGAACATGGAGTCTTAGTTCTTGTTTAGGCATTCATCCAGTGAAACCAAGTAGCTCTGGAGATGCTGGAAGGATAGGGGAATGGAAGTTAGATTTTTTAAGTCACAAATTGAATTTTCTTAATAGTTATCGTATATTTAAAATTAAAATATTGGGTGACACATAGTAGTTTGTGTTTATTTTAGGGATCAATCTACATGTATAGAGTTGTTCATAGTATTTTTTCATTATGCATTTTCTATCTCACAGGTCTGTAATATTATCTCATTTCATTTCTGATTTGGTAATTTCTCATCTTCTCTCTCTCATTTAATTTGTTAGAGCCTTAAGAGATTTATTAATGTTTCCAAAGAACCAGCTCTTTGGTTCATTGATTTTCTCTTATATCTGTTTTTAATTTCATTAATTTCTTCTCTTATTTTCATTATTTTCCTTGCTTTGAGTTTATTTACTCCACTTTTTCTAGGTTATTGATGTAAAAACTAAAATTTTTGATTTTAGACAGTTAATGTTTTATAATGCAGACTATTAATTTTCTTATCACCATTGATTTACCTGCATCCTAATATTTTTGATATATTGTATTTTTGCTTCTATATAATTAAAGGTATTTTTCATTTTCCTCAAAATTTCTTCTTTATGAATTGTTAGAGTGTTGCTTAGTTTCCAAGTGTTTGGAGATTTTCCTGTTATGTTTCTGTTACTGATTTTCAGTTTTATTCCACTGTGGTCAGAGAACATACTATGTATGATTTCAGCTATTGTAATTTGCTGAGGTTTGTTTTATGACCCAAAATTGGCTCTGTCTTGGTATTTACTCTAGAGGCACTTAAGAGGAATATTTATTATGCTGTTGTTGAGTGGAATGTTTTATGAATGTTGAGTAGATCCTGTTAGTTGATGGTCTTAAGATGTATATTCTTGCAGGTTTTCTGTCTATACATTGTTGAGAGAGGGGTGTTAAAGTCTCCAAATATAATTATGAATTTTTCTATTCCTACTTTCATTTATTTTAGTTTTTGCTTCATATATTTCTAGCTATGTATTTGATATATATAGGTTTAGGATTGCTTGGTCTTCTTGGAAGAGTCATTCATTTATAATTGTATAATGCCCTCTTTGTTTCTGGCAGTTTTCTTTGCTCTAACGTGTACTTAGTAGCCAATACTCATTTCATTTGGTTAGTATTGCATAGTAAACTTTTTTCATTTTTTTTTTACTTTCAACTTGTCTATACTGTTATATTTGAAGTGAGTTTCAGTTTCTGGTTGACAGAAGGTAGTTGAGGCATATTTTTTAATCCACTTTGTGAATCTTCATCTTTTATTTGCTGCATTTACATATTTATGTTTAATAAAATTATTGATATATGAGGGTTTAATCATTCCATTTGAATTTTGGATTTCAGTTTGCCTCTTTGCTTTTTAATTTTTTCTTATTTTATTATTTTGTGCAAAGTTTAGAAACCTTACTTCCTTTACATTCCTTTGCCTTCCCTTATTTAAAACTGTCAAATACATTTAGAATCATGTCACTGTTAAAATTTGTTTCCATCAACAAATATAATTCAGAAAATTCAAGAGGAGGGAATCTACTGTCTTTACTCTTTGTTTTTGCTTATTGTGTACTTTACTGATGTTCCAGGATTCCTTCTTTTCTCATTTCCTTTCTGCTTAGAGAATTTCACTTAGCTATTATTTTAGGTTATATCTGTTGGCAACAAATTATTTTAATTTTCCTTCATCTTAGAGGGTCTTGATTTTACTTTCATTCTTGAAGTTTATTTTCACTGGCTATAGGATTTTAGCCAACAATTACTTTCTTTAAAATGCTACTTCATTTCATTTTGGTCTCTAGCCTTTAAAAGAGAAATCCACTATCATTTTAATTGTTTTTTCCCATAGAAGTAGGATGTCATGTCTGTCTTGCTCCTTTCAAGTTTTTCTGTGCCTTTAGTTGCCAGAAGTGTCATTATAATGTGACTTGAATTGGATTTCTTTGTGTTTATCTTGTTTGTGTTTCACTTAGCTTATTTAATCTTTAGATTGATATCTTTTGCCAAATTTTCAGTCATTATTTCTTTGAACTTTTTTTCAGTCCCGTCCTTATTTTCTTATCTTTCTGGAACCATGATGACACAAATGTCATTCTTTTGTTATAGTCTTACAGATCTCTGAAAACATGTTTTTTTTTTAAATCTGTTTCCTCTTTGTTATTCAGATTGAATGAATTTCTGTTGTTTTATCTACCAGTTCATTGATTTTCTCTTTTATCCTCCCAATTTTGCTCTGAGCCTATTAATTGAGTTTTTAAAATTTAGGTATTATATTTTTCAGTTCTAAAATTTGTGTTTGGTTCTCCCATATCATTACTAAGAAAATCTTTTCTTCTGCTGAGACTTTGTTTTCTATTTATTTCAAACGTTTATAAATTGCTTATGTTAGCACTCTTATAGTGGCTACTTCAAAACCTTTAAAGCTAATGATATTATCCCTCTACTCTTAGTGTTGCATCTATTTATTATCTTTCTTTATTCCATATGAGATTTTTCTGATTCTTCTATGACAATTAATTGTTTATTGAGATTTAGATATTTACAATGCATATTATAAGACCCTGGATCGTATTTAAACCTTCTTTTTTAACTGGCTTCCTTTGAACTCTTGTAGTAGAAGCTGATTTTTTATTTTGCTTCTTTTGACACCCAATGAGGGAGAACCATCATTACTCCTGAGTAATGGCAGTTCTCCTTCATAGGCCTCCAATGATACCTGACTGGAAGGAAAGGAATGCCTTGTTACTGTTCCCCATGTGTCCTCCAGTGACAGAACAAGAGAGGAGTTTAGTCACCTGTCAACCACCGGTCTATGTATAATTCCTTACTATTCACTAGGATAGATATTATATCACCCTAGTGAAGGTGGCAGTATCTCACTACTGAAGGTTAAGAGTGGAAGTCCAGGCTCTTTGTCTGGTCTCCACTGAAATGTGAAGAGGTGGCCTCATTAATATCTGGTGGAATGAAAGTCCAGGCTCCCTACTCTGCCATCTCTAATGCCACTCCAAGGGGAGAGTTGCAGTACTTTGTTACTGCTTAGCAAGCATTGAAGTCTGAGTCCCCGTTCAGCCTTTGCTGACATGAGTGGGTTTTGACCCACAAAATTTTCTGTGGTATCTGTCTGGAATAGAGAGGTTATTCTCTAAAAGATTTTTTGTATTGCTAGACTTCCGTTTTCATGGTCCTTTGACTGTAAAGAGCAAGATTTGAAGGAGGTTTTTGTCAGCTCCAATTGGTGTTGACAGATTCCAGACTTGGAGCTGAAGAAACTGGCAAACAGATAGGTGAGACAACCTATTGACTGTGTTGTTCCTTGGGTCTCTAGCTGATCTGTTTTCTTCTTCTCATTCAGAATCTTCTTATGTTTGGTTTATATATGATGTCTAGAGTCATTTGTTTTATTTGGAGGGTGACATACAGAAATCATGTACATCCAATGATCCTAGAAGGGGAAATACTGTCCTAATGTTTTTACATAAATATCTATTAGGGCAAGAGGTTTTTTTGAATGGTATTACATCTCCTTAGACATTCATTACAATAAGAAAGTAGATCCTTGCTTCTTTGGTTTTTTGAATGAGCCTAATTTCTAGCCTTCACAATATTAAATTAACTCATGTTGAGTTAGCCCCTCCAGCTCTTTATTTTCAGTTCAGAGATGACCTAAATACCTAATGGCCAATGGTTCTAGACTATACTATATTTTATCAGTTCTAATATGTCATAGATTGTAAGATAATTGTAACAAGAGTTAAGTGGGAATGAGTTATATATCAACTTAATGATATATTGCAATTGCAGTAATAACATAATTGAGAGGATTGTCTAATTCAGTATAAAGGTAAAGAAATATGTGATATTTCTTTTCAAGTTTTCAATTCCTGACACTCATGTAGGGTACTCCTAAAATCAACAAGTAAACAAAACCCAGCAATGTAGAGCAACATACGTATTTGTGATATACCAGTATGTAATAGTTAAAACCATGAACCCAAAGAATATTTCATTAAAAATGCTTAAATTTTTGGGAGGCCGAGGCAGGCGGATCACGAGGTCAGGAGATTGAGACCATTCTAGCGAACACGGTGAAATCTCATCTCTAATAAAAATACAAAAAATTAGCCGGGCATGGTGGAACACGCCTGTAGTCCCTGCTACTCAGGAGGCTGAGGCAGGAGAATCACTTAAACCCATGAGGTGACCGTGAGCCAAGATCACGCCACTGCACTCTAGCCCGGGCAACAGAGTGAGACTCTGTCTCAAAAAAAAAAAAAAAAAAAGCTAAACTTTTAATGATGAATAAAATGAAAGAAATTAATTGAAAAGCTAAATATGTTACTATATGTCTTCTCTTCTTACTTCCCCACAATTTTCTGCTTCTCAGTCTTATGTCAATATATCTTTAAAGTTATATATTAGTAAAGTGTTTAAGTATGGCTGAAGATATACAGTATATCTATTTTATATGATCTAGATTCACAATGAACTATGATAAGAATTTAAAAATATAGATTTCTATAACCAAATAGCTAATCTTGGTGAAACAGTGTGAAAGGTATCCAGCCTAGTATCTGGAAACTTTTGGAGATCTTGCAGATTTGGCTTCCCAGAAAAGTCAAGGTGAAGCCATGTAGCCTAGATTTAGCCAATTAAGATCTCTTTCCAGAAGTTTTGAATTTTAAACGTAATGAATCAAGGGTAGAAGAAAACATTAGATTTTTTAATACTAGTACTAGAACCCTAATAATTTGTAGTTTTTGTTCCAGGTAACTATCAAGAGTTCTGTATTTTTCTTCTTTCTACATCAGACTTGATTACCACATTTGCTACAGAAAAAAAAATCCTAATTAATATTTGTAAAAACTTAAGTTAAACTGTAGATATTTAGAAAAATACTTAAATTGTGAAAAATTACTTAACACATTAGCACATAGTGACTCTATTAAGTGATAGCAGCAATAAAATAATTATTGCTTATTTTCCCTGTCATCAATACAAGCAAAATCTTATGATTATTATTTTTATAACAAATAAAGTAATTATAGCGTAAGTAAATGATTCTGAATATACAGCAGTAGAAATTAGAAAACTAAGGTCAGTGAAAGAGAGAACTTGCTCAGGGGGTAGCACTGCTCCCTGTGTATGTACTGCTTTTAGCAACTGTTAGTAAAAATGCAGATCTGGTAAAGTTTACATAAGGGATGTATGCAATGGATGTCACCTTGCTGAAGTAAAATTTTTAGTAAGTTTCTCAATTCAAAATGCAATTATTTTCCAGAAAAATTCAAATATGAAAAATTACATATACAAATTGTATTCAGTTACTCTTTCTCCATTTCTCTCTCTCTCTCCTCTTCCTTCTTTCCTTCCTTCCTTTCTTCCCTCCTTCCTTCCTTTCCCCCTCTCTCCCTTCCTCCCTCTCTCCCTCTCTCCCTCTCTCTCTCTTTCTCTCTTTCTTTCTTTTTCTTTCTTTTGTCTAATGGAAAAATAGATGAAATAGTTTTGATCATTCAAATTAATTCAGAATCCCTAATCTTGTTTCTATTAGTCTTTCTTTGAAAATTATGACATTTGTGCTTTTGGAATTATATAACATTAAAGCTAGTGTGATTTCTTTCAGGGTCTGTTACCTGTCATGTGATGCTATACTAGAGTCAGGTTGGAATTTGTCATCTTATTGCTACACAGAGTCTGTTTTGTCAGTCTTAAGATCTCTGTTTTAATGTTAATGCTGGTAGTTGAGGTTGAATTCCAAAGGCAGTAGAGTATAATGTGGCACGTTAGAACCCCTTTTCCAATCATGGCCTAAACTTGTTTTTCAGGTTAACTTTGGAATGTCCTTGGCTAAGAGGAGGGGTCTATTCAGTCAGTTGGGGAATCTTAGAATTTTATTTTTGATTTATACTGTCCAAGGCACACTTCTGTCACAGATTCCTCCCAGAAAAATGAAGGAGTTATTGTCACATCTGTTTGTCAGTTAGGAAAGAGAGGAAGGCATGGTAAACCACAGGGTGGCCATGATACAAAATAGGCTTCCTGAAGCTGTGCATCAGATGGAGAAGGAGAACACATGAACACACACTGTATGGAGAATACCTGGACACCAAGGCATGAAACCAAAGCAATGCATGGAGTGATATTACTGTCTTGTGAAGATCAAATGAATCTTGAAATCTAGACCTGCTTCCTCAACATTCACATCAGTTACAGAGTATAAGCCTTGGAAACTGAGAAGCTATGTCATAAACTCTTGTATCAAAATAACAAGTGTCTGACTTGATATTACTTTTTGACATTCAAGCTTCATAGCTAGAAATATTTTTCTTTTTCATTGTCACCATGAAGAAAGTTAACATCTCTGCTAGGTAGCTTAATCACCTGTTCAAAAATAAATGTTTCTTAGTTCCTAAAATATGGCTTTCATCTCATAAATGACTTGTGAATAGTTTACCAAAATGTTGGAATAACACGTAGTAAATCTCCAAGGCTCTGCATTTTGTTTCTAGTACACTTGCGAAAATTATATTAGAAGTAATAACTGACTTTCTGCACAGGAAAACCTTGGTCTTGGCACACACACATGGATCATATTCTCATGCTTTGAACTTTGATTTCAAAGAGAATTTTATGAGTAGAGGAGATTTGGAGATCTTATTTTTGATGCAATGTCTATATTCCCAGTGTTGATGATGTCTATGTATAATTAATGCACATCCTTCACTGATTTGAATAATGATGAAATGTTTTAACATTTCTAGGATTAGGACAAAATATAACTGGGTAAACTAAATGTCAAAGTGTCAATATCATCATTTTAGCTCTATTATCTTCATATTTGCAGAACTTAATTTCACTGCTAACCCATTTAAGATTTTCCTTTAGTAGTGGTCACGTGTGCATCTGAGACATAGTTGTTTTCTCAAAAAAATACTGGAGAGAGAAGCCAATGTTTAGTGAATGCAGACAAAAGCAACATAATGGCCTCAGTTTTCCATAAGACATTGGTTCTGGAAATGCTGTCAATGGATTTAAAATAGGGAGTGCATTACAAATGTCATTAGTCAGGCTTATTCCCTACCTTTCAAAAGCCCTCCTGTACTATTACCTTTGAGGAAAATGGATGGAGTCATTTCTCTTTGAAATTCTTACTTGACCCATGGCAGAGTTTTCTCTTCTAAAATTCTTTCTCTTTCATCTTACCAACTCTTTTTACCTTTGAACCTACATTGGCTGCATTGTGTGAAAGTCTACAAACATCATTTACCCTCTATAATAACGGTGTTTCCACTGCAGTGCTGAACTCAGGGATGAGATGATTTGAGCACAGATACGATTCCTGTGTATGTACCATCATTTAATTTCAAGTACCACCACTAAAACATAAAATGTTTTTGTATGTATAAATACATCCAAGCTCATTATAATGTAAAGAACACATATTAAAGGGACAATGTTATATAATATCACAACCACTAGAAGAAAAAAAGGGACACAGTGGCTCACCCTTGTAAACCCAGCACTCTGGGAGGCTGAGATGGGAGGACACTTTGAGCCCAGGGGTTTGAGGTCAGTCTGGGCCACAAAGGGAGATTCTGTCTCTACAAAAAAAAAAATCAAAAAATTAGCCAGGCATAATGGTATGCACCTGTCATCTCAGCTACTTAGGAGGCTGAGGTGAGAGGATTGCTTGAACCTGGGAGGTCAAGGCAGCCACGAGCTGTGATTGCACCACTGCACTTCAGCCTGGGTGACAGAACAAGACTTAGCTAAAAACAAACAAACAAACAAACAAACAAAAAAACTGGTGGACTATCAGTGTTGAGGAGAAGATTGAGTACAGTGAACTCTGCTTTACTACTTTCTTTTGGAAGTGTAATTGGCAAAACCACATTGTAGAAGGAGTGGTAATTATCTTGTAGTTAAACCTGTGAACAACCTAGGATCCAACTGCACTCTTAGACTATGCACTAGAGGAATTATTTAAAATGTGCATTTAGGCCAGGCGCGGTGACTCACACCTGTAATCCTAGCACTCTGGGAGGCAGAGGTGGGCGGATCACGAGGTCAGGAGATCTTGACCATCCTGGCTAACACGGTGAAACCCCGTTTCTACTAAAAAATACAAAAAAATTAGCCAGGTGTGGTGGCGGGCACCTGTAGTCCCAGCTACTTGGAAGGCTGAGGCAGGAGAATGGCGGGAACCCAGAGGCGGAGCTTGCAGTGATGCCAGATCGTGCCACTGCACTCCAGCCTGGGTGACAGAGCAAGTCTCCGTCTAAAAAAAAAAAAATGTGCATTTATAATAATGCTCAAAGATTTTTTTAGCAATGTTTTTTAAAAAATCATGAGGTTTCAATCAGGATATGCGCATCACTCCAGTTACTTTAACAGAGAGAATTAAATATAAAAATTATTAACTATATATAATTTTGTAAACTAGATTGATACCTATCAAGGCAGAAAGAGAATATAAAGTTTTCACAAAGGAAGAAACTGCAGGAAGCAGCTAACATCTTTAGGACTAAAGAGTACAAAATGGAAGAGATGGAACGTATTAATATCAACATATTAGGGTGGAGGCCCTGCATACCCAACATGTAGCTGAACCCTCTGAAGGAGGGCTTGGCTTGTTTCTAAACCTCTCAGGAGGAGGCATCAGTTATCTGGTGCTGGTGTCTTTGAAGGGACAGAATAAGGCTAGTTTTTTGGAGTTTGGGTAAAAGCAGATCTAACTACTGCGGTGGGAAGGAATTTCCATTGCTGAGTACAAGATACTTGGTAAGATGATGCTGAAAGGAAGCTCAAGTAAGCAACAGAAAACTAATAGGAAAAAGCAAGTCTATTCTCCCTCCTCTAATTTGTAGTTGCCTTATAACAACTCATATTAATTGAATCTAACTGAAGTCAGCTGGCAAAGAAAAATGTGCAGTTCAGCCGAGGCAGGTGGATCACCTGAGGTTGGGAGTTCAATACCAGCCTGACCAACATGGAGAAACTTCGTCTGTACTAAAGACACAAAATTAGCCAGGTGTGGTGGTGCATGCCTGTAATCCCAGCTACTATGGAGGCTGAGGCAGGAGAATCACTTGAACCTGGGAGTCAGAAGTTGCGGTGAGCCGATATCACGTCATTGCACTCTAGCCTGGGCAAAAAGAGTGAAACACCATCAAAAAAAAGAAAGAAAGAAAGATAAAGAAAAGAAAGAAAGAAGAAAGAGAGAGAGAGGGAGGGAGGGAAGAAGGAAGGGAGGAAGAAAGGAAGGAAGGAAGGAAGGAAGGAAGGAAGGAAGGAATGAAGGAAGGAAGGAAGGAAAGAGAGAGAAAGAAAAAGAAAGAAAAGAAAAGAAAAGAAGGAAAGTTCAGTCCCAGAATCACAAAGCCAAGCAAGGAATAGAATTATAGGTTTGGAGCACAGGTTTAATACCCTGATAATGCGCAGACTGGAAATAACCCAAAATATCCACTATTTTGTAAAAGGCTTTGAGAAACAAACTCACCCATCCAAACCCAAAGAATGGATTCACAGACATGGAGGAAAGTAGAAGTAAGACTTTTAATGACAGTCTTGCAAGATAGGGTGTCTGATGTGAAGTCACATCCAGCACAATTACAACAAGCAATTTATCCCCTAGTTTACAGGTCCTTCCCCTAGTTCTTCATAGGCTGAGTACTGTGGGGTCACAATCTTCCCATACGTCACCTATTGGTTGTTAGGTAGGGGCTTTCGCGTGTCATCTTTAGGGTTGTCTCACTGCATTTTGTTGAAACCCACAATGCATTGCAATTATAATCAACTTAGGGGCTTTTCAAGTATTTTTGACTTATGACCTAGGTAGTCAGGCAAGCTGGTAAGAGGAGATAAAGTGAGCTATTTTGCAGGCTAGTAAAGTTTTATTTCAGGCTAAACTTTTTTGGTTTGGGTGAGGGCAACTAAGGGGGGCCCCCAATAAGCAGGTGCCAGCTATCAAAGCAGGGGCCTAGTATATCCTGTCATTTTGTAGTTTGCAGACTCAAGCTAATTCAAGGCACTTTGTCTTGGGAACAGACCATCATACACATTATTTCCTTTAATTCCCTTCTCTTTTTCTTTTTACCCCAATAACAGTTGATACGTTACTGACATTTGTTTGCTCACGGCTGTTTTTATTCATTACTGTTAACCCTTTAACACAGGGGATATTGCAACACCCTACAGCTGTTAGAACTCCAGCCATTATTATAAGAGATGTTAGAATGGAAGTTACCATTCCTTTCCATTTCCCGAACCAACCCTCTAGCCAATTAGTAAATGGGTTATTGATTTCAGCATTTTCTGCCAATTTATTGGTTAGAGTTGTTAACCCTTGCAATGCTTTTGTGATTGTTCCATCTGGGGCAGTATTATTAGGAATGAAAATGCAACATTTTTACACCCAGCACAATGCATATGCTCCCTTTCTTTGCTAGGATTGTGTTTAACACAAGTTTGTTCTCCCAGGCCATTCAGCTGGTGGCATT
The DNA here is from genome assembly GCF_000001405.40 of Homo sapiens. Classification (NCBI taxonomy): domain Eukaryota; kingdom Metazoa; phylum Chordata; class Mammalia; order Primates; family Hominidae; genus Homo; species Homo sapiens. The sequence goes on from NC_000004.12 coordinate 133,948,032, forward strand.
TAAATGGCTAGCCACTCCTTTGAGAGTGTCTTGAGTATAGTTGATGAATCTTTCTTTATTATAATAGAAGTAATTAATCCAATCCACATTTTTATTAATAGTGGAGCACCAGAAGAGTGCTGACTTAAACCTTGCAGCTATTTGGTTTTGGCCCTTAAATTTATTAGGTACTCCTCTAGGGTCTCCTATTGAGTTAATATAAATGTTGGGATTCAAATAATTTATTAAATCTCTCCAACTTCGGTGGCCATGTGAATTCTCAGAGATCTTATGGAATGCCAGGGTGAATGGAATGGCCAACTAAACTAAGGCACAAATCCTGGTCCAATTGGATGGTAACAGGTCACGGAGGTTTCTCTTCCCACAATACCACCAGATATCAGCCTGGGGTATATGAAGAGCCAAGAAATTACCTTGTTTTACTCACCAGTCATGTTTAGGATGTGGGTACAAGTTGAGAGTTCTCCCATGGGCTTATAGAACTATGTCCCCTGCCTAGAGAGGCAAGAGGAGTGATTCATATTCCCTATGGAGAATGAGAAGATTGCTTTAGGGTCTGATCTTTGCAAGGTGGGAAAGAGCAATGATAGACTTTTGCAAGTCTTATTTCCCCATGCATTCCTGTCCTGGTATAGAGCCAACATACAACACATTCTTTTCGAATTGGTATTCCATCCTAGGGGAAATGGAACCACCTGTGCCTGAGGCCTCTCAGCAGAGCATGCATAACAGTCGCTTTTGTTGAGGGCTAGTACCAAAAATTTGACCCATTGAACCCAACATTTACATCCCCATATCTGGTCTCAATTTTTAAAGTTTGTCTGAGATCAGTTATCTTAATTAATTTTACTCTCTCAGGGTTATTGCCTGGTGAGTTGAAGGAAGTCATGGGACTAGGAGTTATAGTAACCCTGGGTGAGCTCAAGTTTGAGTTGGTGAATAGCCTGAGAGCTAACCATTCCATGAGATCCCTTCCTGAGATATCTATTCCTAATCCATACCTCCAAGGTTCCTGGTCTAAAGTAGCTAGTTTATTGTGATTGATATAGGATTCCATTCTAAATTTTCACAGTTGTGTGGCATGGGGGCCCTTATATATATGTATTTTATCCCTTAAAGTTCTGTTTTTGGAAGAATGACTCACCCAACCTTGAAATTGAGTGGTCCACCAGACCTCATTCCAGCTAGCACAGGGCTTTCCCCAATAGCAGCCCATTTCAGAACATAAATATTTGTCTGCTTATGACAACTGCCTTTGGTTTTTTAAAATTTCCACAAGGTGACTTGGCAGGCATCAAACTTTAGGGTCTCAGGGGTGGAGGCCCTAGTTATGTTGATTATCAGCTTGATTAGGTATTCCCTACTTTCCACCACTAGGCCCCAACCAATACTCGGGCTTTCTTTCACACCTTGTATTAGGATTAATCCTAATCATATCCACCCCCAGTGAAGGGGCTCTCTCATAGTTCCCTTCTAGGTTTTTCTCAGAGTTAACTTTAAGGGTTCCTTAAGTGATTTATACATTTCCTATTAGCCCCTTTTACTTTTTTCTAGGATTTCTTTTACCAGTTTCTTGACCCGAGTATAATGAGTACACCCTCATTCAGCTCTTTGCACTCCTGTCTTCGTGGTCAGGAGCACTTGTTAGGGACCTTCCCAGTTTGGGTGGAGCTTGTTTTCCTTCCAAGTCTTAATTAGCACCAAGTTGCCAGGCTGGAAGTAGTGGACTGTGAACTCAAGAGGCAGAGTTTGAGTCAGAAGTCCTTTTAACTTAAGGGATGACAGGGTAGAGGATATGGCCAGTATATAGTTTCTTAATAATTGGTCTTTAGTTTCCATAGTAGGAAGGTCAGTAGCCCTGCCTAAATACGGGAGTCCATATATTAACTCATAGAGGGACAATCCCAGGTATTTCCTTGAGGTTGTCCTAATCCTAAGGAGTGCTATTTGGAGACATTTTGTCCAAGGCATTTTAGTTTTAAGATGAGTTTGCTAATATGCCCTTTGAGAGTTTGATTCATTCTCTCTAGCTTTCCAGAGGAAGGGGGATGCCAAGGGGTGTGGTAATCTTATCTGATGTGTAAAACTTCCATAATTCCCCTTAGCATCCTCGAGTTTAACTGGCTTCCATTGTTTGAATCGGTATTTTTCACCAAGCCAAATCTGGGTATAATTTGTCTTAAAATGATTTTGATGACATTCTTGGAGGTTGCAGTTGGGAGAGGGAAGGTGTTCACCCAGCCAGAGAGGTGGTCTACTATTACTAGTGGATACTTTAGTCTCCCTTTTATTGGCATTTCTGTAAAATTTACTTCCATGTTTTGAAATGGTCTTAACCCGGGAGGTTTTCCTTCAGTAGTCTGTGCTCTAACTACTGTTTTGTTTATTCTTTGGCAGATCACACAAACTCCACATACTTTTTTAACAAGGATATAAATCCCTATATACCCATAATTCTTCAATATTGCATGACACATATGCTGGGGACCCCAGTGACTTCCTTTGTGCAGCATGAACATTAGTTCTCTCATTATGGGTTTACTTATCATTTTTCTCCCATCAGGGAGCACCCATCTTCCATCTTCAGTTTGAGCGGCCCCTATCTTGCCCAGTTCCTCTTTCCCCTGTTTGGAAAATTGGGGCTTAATACTACCTTAGAGATATCTGGAATTAGGCTAAATAGTCTAACTTTTTCCTCCAGGGAAGCTTGCTTAGCAGCTACATCCATAAGCCTATTGACTACAACCTCCATAGTGTTCCCTTTTTGATGGCCATTTATATGAACTGTGTTACCTCTGCTGGAAGCAAGAGGCTACTGAAAACTTGTGTGACCCATTCCCCTGTAACAATTATTTTCCCCTACTATTTATTAGGCCCTACTCTGTCCAGATCTTTCCAAAGGTTTGTATCACTCCATGGGCATATTTGGGATTAGTATACATAATGCTGTCTTGGCCTTGTAGGAGCTTTAGGGACTGGTTAAGAGCATATAATTTACAGGTTTGGGCTCACCAGCCATTAGATAAGCTACCTTTCTTACATAAGGATTGTTTTTTATTTTTGTTTGTTTGTTTTTTTGTTTGTTTGTTTTCCATTAATGACAACATAGCCATTGTCTCTTGCCATTTATCACTCAGGACGACTCATCCACAAGCAGCCTTATCTCATCATGTAATGGAGCTTCTTTAAGGTCTGGTCTAACTTTGGTTTGATATTCTATGATATCTAAACAGTTATGGTTTGATGCCTCTTTATTCTTCTCTCTTTTCCATAAGAAACTGGCTGGATTCAAGCAAGTATCTGTTGTTAAGACCAAATCATCTTTTCTAGTAATATGGCTTCATATTTTAGAATCTGGGAATCAGTAAACTATCTCCCAGCTTTTTTGATTTAATATACTCCTAACCTGATGCGGGGTGCTCACTAACAGGGCCCCATCCAAGGTCAGATTTCGACTCTCCTCTACCAGCAGGGCCTTGGCAGCTACTGCTGGCACACATTTGGGCCACCCTTTAGAGACAGGATCAAGAAGCTTGGAGATAAAAGCAACAGGTTGCCTCTTCTGACCCCAGGTTTGAGTGAACACCCCAAGGGCCACACCCTGGTCTACTGTTACAAACATATGAAACATTTTTTCTAAAGATGGGAGAGCCAGGACTGGGGTTGGGATGAGGGCTTGCTTTAAATCCTCCATTGCCTTAATGGGGTCCCCTATGGGGACCATTAAGTTACTAGAAGGGTAACCCCATTAAGTTACTAGAAGGGTCAGGTTCCCCTTCTAGTAACTTAAAATACAGAATCTTTTTCTTTAGAGCCTATGAGTTAATCCATAACCTACAGTAATGAGTTAAACCTGAAATTTTTTCAGAGTTCTCTCTTTGTCTTAGGCAAGGGCAGACCCACTATTCCAATATTCTTTCTGAGTTTATTCTCCACTTTCTGTCACCAATTAGATGTCCTAAATATTTAACTTCTTTTTCTACAAATTGCAATTTGTTTTTGGAGGCTCACAATCCCCTTTCCCTTAGGAAACTAAGCAAGCTTATGGTAGCTGCTGATACCACGGCCCTTCTTTCCCCCGAAATTAGAAGATTATCCACATATTGTAACAACTGGGTTTCTCTTGAAGGTTGGAATTCCTCCAGGACGTTTTCTAAGACTTGACCAAATAAGTCTGGGGCTTCCATGAAACCTTGTGGCAGCACAGTCCATTGGTACTGTGGCTTTCTCCCAGTTATGAGATTTTCCTATTCAAAGGCAAAGAGTGTCCTAATCTTAGAGTCTAGGGGACGCCCAGAATGCATCTTTTGGATCCATTACACTGAACCACTTATGTTCATAGGATATTTTACTAAGGAGGCCATAGGGGTCAGGCACCACAGGATGGTGAGTTTGGACACTTTGATTTATATCCCTTAGATTTTGCACTAATCTATGTGACCCATCTGGTTTCTTGACCGGGAGAATTGGAGTGTTGTATGGTGACATGCAGGGTTCCAATAGTCCATCTTTAATTAATTTCTCTATTACTGGTTGAAGAACTTTCCTCCCATTAATGAATATGGGATATTCTTTTCTGAAAACTATTTTTCGTGGTTGTTTTAGTTCAATTTGTAAGGGTGTGATTTTTAATCCTCCCCTGTTGCCTTCCTTAACCCACACGAGGGGATTAATTTTACTTTTTCCCTCCTCTGTTAGGAGGCCTTATCATTACTTTTATTTGCCCCTCCTCTACTCCTAATCCTAAACCTAATCTAATAATCAGGTCTCAACCAAGGAAGCTAGTTTCTGCGTCGGGGACATATAGGAGTGACCACTTAATTTGTTCTGATCCCAGCCTAATTAACACTTTCTTAAATATTGGAAACTAAAATCCCTCCCCCTTCACCCCGATACTGTTAACTTTTCCCTAGAATGTTCTGTGCCCCTTGGTTGGTACATTAGGGAGGAGCAAGCCACTCCAGTGTCTATCAAAAATTTTATTTTTTCCCCTTCTGGTTCCACCCTCAAGTTTATCAAGGGTTCCTGGTGGGACCTGCTCAGAAAGAACCACTGATACCCCTATTCTCCATCAAAATTCATAAAGGGGATCACATTCTCTTCCTTTTTCCATTCCAGACATTCTCTCTTAAAATGTCCTGGTTTTCCAAATTTGTAACATCCACTTGCAGTCTTTGGAGTTGTTCCCTTTATTTCCCTCCTGTCTCTTTTCTGAGACCTAGTATTCTCTCATCTTCTCCAAGAGGGGTCTTGATTTAAACTATTTCTAACTACTTCCTCTACAGTGGAAACCATGATCTTTGCCTTTTGTTTCTGTCTATCTTCCTCTCTTCTTAATAAAAACCTTCTGAAATTCCCTCAGTAATTCCTCAATTGGTTTCTCATTCCGTCTATCAATCTTTTGTAGTTTCTTAGTAATATCAGGCCAGCTTTTAGTTACAAAATTAACATTTAAAAGATCTTGCCCTACTGGGTCCTTTGTATCTAATCTTGAACATTTTCTTATTTGATCCCTGAGCCTCTGCAGAAACTCAGAGGGAGTCTCTTCTTTTTCTTGCTGAATCTCAAATGCTTTCAAGACATTTCGTGTCCTAGAAGTGGACTCTTGAATCCTCCTAATTATTACTTCCCTAAAATCTTGCATTTGGGCCCAATTCCTGGGGTCATTATTATTACATTTGGGATATACAGTTGGGAATTTCTGCCCAGATGGCAGGACTCATTGCCTGGGAGGATGCTCTCTCTCCCAAATGATCATGGCTGCCCTTCTAATCATTCCCCTCTCTTCCCCAGTAAACAGAATATTCATGATTGACATTATTTCAGCCCAACTATAAAGATTACATCCTAAAAATTGATCTAGCTGTTCTGCTAAACCAAGCGGATCTTTTAGAAGTGGCCTCATTTCCTTTTTAAGATTTCTAACCTCAGTACTTGTTAAAGGCACACTCACAAATGCAACTCCTACCTGTCCCATAGGGACTTCTCTGAGAGGGAACCTGTTAGACAGACATCTGCTGTTTGGAGGGAACACATAAATTCTTAATGTCCTTCTTACATTGTTCTAATTCTTTCCTCAAGTTCAGATAATGATTTAAGGGAACACTGGGTTTAATTCCCTTAAGGGCCAGATTTCTCTTCCTCTGGCCTTCCTTTTGCCCCCTGATCTTCCTGTTCTTTATTTTGGGAGACATATGTCGGGGGAAAGCATGTTAGGGTATCCCAGGGATTTTCAATGGGTGAGCGCTCTTTACTACGCTCTTTTTCTCCTTCTTTAAGGGGGAACATGGGGACGAATTACCTGATTCAACAAAGAGCATAACCCATCTCTTCTTGTGAGGATGGAGTTTTATCATTTACATAGAGAATTAAAACTTGGCACATTCTATCCTCCTGAGCCAAACATAGGCCAAAAGACCAAAGACTTATGAATGGGATCTTTGGGCCAGGTAAAACAGCAAAACTTTATCATCTCTTGTTTTTCTTTGTCGGTGGTTTAAGGGCTGTCCCTCCAAACCTTCAGAATTCTCCCCAACAGACTATACAGGTGAATATCAAAGGGGTCTCTTTAGTTCCCTCTTTCCTTTGTTCCCTAGGCCTAGAATTCTTGTTTCCCATTTTTGGTTAGTCTCTGTGTTTGAGCTTTTCCCCGTGTACATTTACATTTATATAAAATTAAAAATATGCAAAATTGAACAAGGCATGCTTTAAAACATATAAATAGATGCTGTATGAAAAGAATATTAGGAATTCTTTACCAACTTTAGGATAGGTTTTAACTCTGGGGATAGTAATCAAAGAAGTACATAGTGAACGAGCTGGTTAATGATATTGTTCCCCCACAGGAGAGAAAGATGGAGAATTTGAACAGGGGAGGACAGAATGGTGGATAAGGCCAACAGTATACCCAAACTGCATCAAATTCAAGTTTCCCATGCTCACCAGATTTTTTCCTATGCCCAACAATGCACACTGGGGTAATTTTTGTTCCTATTACAAACATAAATATTAAAAATACAAGTATCACTCTGTAATTAAGGGATAATAACACAGAAACATGAGAAAAATTGATCACTCAAGTCAATAAAGGAAAAAGGGAAAGATAAACAGGCTTATGGAACATTGTGAAAAATTAAATCTAGAACTCACCAATTTGTTTCAGTTTACTCATGGCATACTACATAAAACTGGGGGATAGTTTAATACTTTGGAAAGAAATATTCAGGAGACTGGCTTTGAAAAAAAAAGATTTTTTTTTAAACCTGCTTCATAATCAATGAAAGAATTATATGCACTAAAGTCAATATGCTAATATTATGCTCATAATTTATAATTCAAAAGTATACTGATCTTAAAATTTTCAACTATTAAATAGTTAATTGATTGGTTTAGATTATAGGTATTTCAAATTAAACACTTAAGCTCTGAATTTTTATTACAATTATTAACAGATACTTCTTTTATGAATTTGAATATTATTTGAATATATGAATACATTTTACATGTATTTCTATTTTATACATATAATCCATAGGTTTAAAAATTTAAATTTTGAAATTAAGTCCCAGTTTCATGTAACATGACAGAGAAAAATTACATTTTGTAAAAGAGAATTAAATTTAACAATATTAAGAGGATGGCTTTTAACTTGTAAAGTACCAGCAATGGCTCATCAAAAGAATTTCTGCCAGTTTCTGGAATGCATATTTGATTAACAGTGCCATAGTACTGGGGGTTATGCCTGTATTTTTAGGACACAAAGACTTACTTATTAATGCACCATTCACAATGACTGTATCAAAATATATGTGACCATTTATGCTCTCTTTTTATTCTGAAGAGTCTTACAAAATAAACCTGTTGTCTCTATGTTTTCATTTAACCCCTGGTTATTGGATGTGTCTTGAAATCAGCTAAAGAAGAGTCAATAAATGCTCTTAATCAGCCCTTTGGTGGCTTATCTATTAAATTAATTTGCATCTTTATCTACTCATCTTTGAAGTCCTGTTGAATCAAATGGACTTATTAAAAAAAAATGAGGGATTTCAACATTCAAATCATAAGGGTTTTTCTCATTAACTTAACAGAATGCTTGAAAAACAAATTTAAATTAATTTTGCAAAGAACTCTTTCTTTGATTCTATTATTAGAAATAAAAACACTTTTAAGGATACTTTTTGGAATCAAATTTTTATAAGTGAGGGACACTAGGAATGTAATTATAATTAGTATGGTTCTTGTGAGTCACTTTATTTTCTCTTAAAAGAGTTATATTTTGAAGAAACAAGTGTTAAAGTAATAATAGGGAAGGAGATGCATTGAACACCATGAAAAGATAGCAAAAGGAGAGGATAGCAATGAAGATTCAAACTCACCTGTGTTTCTGCTCTTAATTTGATGCTGTTTTTTTCTCTTTAATTTATCTCCTGATAGGATTCAGGACAAGTTACCCCCAAATATGGTACCTTGGCATTTGAGAAAACAACAGAAACAGGATGGTCACTCTCTGACCTTCTTATACCTTTCTTTCTTGAAGCGGGTCATAAAACCCTCATGTGAGGGGTGTCTACTATGCACTGGGAGGAAAGGAACAGCCATATCTCTGAAGATAGTGTATTAGTCCATTCTCATGCTGCTATGAAGAAATATCCAAGACTGAGTAATTTACAAAAGAAAAAGGTTTAATTGACTCACAGTTCCACATGGCTTGGAAGGCCTCAGGAAACTTACAATCATGGCAAAAGGTGAAAGGGAAGAAAGGCACCTTCTTCACAGAGCAGCAGGAAGAAGTGGTGAGCAAAGCAGGGGAAAGCCCATTTTAAAACCATGAGATCTTGTGAAAACTCATTATCATAAGAAGAGCATGTGGGGTAACCACCCCTATGATTCAATTACTTCCCACTGTGTCCCTTCAATGACACATGGGGATTATAGGAACTACAATTTTAGATGTGATTTGGGTGGGGACACAATCAAACCATATCATTCCACCCCCAGCAGCTCCCATATATCATGTTCTCACATTTCAAAACACAGTCATGCCTTTACAACAGCCCCCAAATGCTTATCTCATTCCAGCATTAAACCAAAAGTCAAAGTCCAAAATCTCATCTGAGACAAGGCAAGTCCCTTCTGCCTATGAATCTGTAAAATCAAAAGCGAGGTAATTACTTCCTAGATACAATGGCAGTAGAGGCAGTGGGTAAATATACCCATTCCAAATGGGAGAAATGGGCCCAAAGGGTCTACAGGCACCATGCTAGTCCGAAATCTAGTGGGGCAGTCATTAAACCTTACAGTTGGTACATAATCTCCTTTGACACCATGTCTCACATCCAGGTCATGCTGATGCAAGAGATGGGCTTCTATGGCCTTCAGCAGTCTACCCCTGTGGCTTTTCAGGGTACAGCCCCTGCCTCCTGGCTGCTTTCACAGGTTGGCATTGAATGTCTGCAGCTTTTCCAGGAATATGGTGCAAGTTGTCAGTGGATCTACCATTCTGGGGTCTAGAGGACAGTGGCCCTCTTCTTACAGCCCCACTAGGCAGTGCCCCAGTAGAGACTCTGTGTGGGGGCTCCAACCCCACATTCTCTTTCTGCACTGCCCCAGCAGAGGTTCTCCATGAGGGATGCACCCCAGCAGTAAACTTTTCTTGAACCTCCAGTCATTTTCATACATTCTCTGAAGTATAGGTGGAGGTTCCCAAATCTCAATTCTTCACTTTTGTGAACCCACAGGCTCAACACCATGTGGAAACTGCCAAAGCTTGGGGTTTGCATCTTCTGAATTAGTGTCCCGAGCTGTACCCTCGTCCCTTTTAGCCATGGCTGGAGCTGAAGCACCTGGGATGCTGGGTGCCATGTCCTGAGGCTGCGCAGAGCAGGGGGCCCTGTGCCCAGCCTAGGAAACCATTTTTTCTTTCTATGCCTCTGAGCTAGTGATGAGAGGGGTTGCCATGAAGACCTCTGACGCCCTGCAGACATTTTCCCCATTGTTTTGGCAACTAATATTTGGCTCCTCATTACTTATGCAAATTTATGCAGCCTGCTTGAATTTCTGCTCAGAAAATAAGTTTTCCTTTTCTATTGCATCAACAGGCTGCAGATTTTCCAAACTTTAATGCTCTGCTTCCCTTCTAAACATGAGTTCCAATTCCAAATAATCTCTTTCAAGTTCAAAGTTTTACAGATCTCTAGGGGAGGGGCAAAATGCCTCCAAACCCAATGCTAAAGCATAACAAGAGTGACCTTTGCTCCAGTTTCCAAGAAGTTCCTCATCTACGTCTGAGACTACCTCAACCTGGACATCATTGTCCATATCACTATCAGCATTTTGGTCAAAGCCACCCAACAAGTCTCTAGGAAGTTCCAAACATTCCCACATTTTCCTGTCTTTTTCTGACCCCTCCAAACTATTCCATCCTTCGCTTGTTACCTAGTTTCAAAGTTACTTCTACATTTTGGGGTATCTTTATAGCAGTGCCCCACTACTCCTGGCATCAGTTTACCATATTAATCCATTTTCATGCTGCTATGAAGAAATACCCAAGACTGGGTAATTTGTAAAGAAAAAAGGCTTAATTGATTTACAGTTCCACTTGGCTGGGAAGGCCTCAGGACACTGACAATCATGGTGGAAGGTGAAAATACCTCTTCACAAGGCAACAGGAAAGAGAAGGGCTGAGCAAATGGGAAAAAGCCCCTTAGAAAACTATCCGATCTTTTGAGAATTCACTTACTATCACAAGAACAACATGGGAGTAACTGCCCCTAAGATTCAATTACCTCCCACTGAAGATTATGGGAACTACAATTCAAAATGAGATTTGGGTGGAGACACAGCCAAACCATATCAGATAGCAATGCAGAGAAGAAACTAAACAAACAGACCTTGCTAAGTTCTCCCAGTTTGTTACCACTAGATCATGCTCCCTTTGTCCAATCATACTTCTTCACAACTATTCACTTCTTCATCAAACTTTGTGTAAAAATATACAGGTTTTCCTGTTTCTATGGGTATTCATTTCTGAAGGCTCCCATGTTACACAGTATTTAGATTAAATAGAGTATGCCAGGACAGTTAAAGAGGCTTCATTCCAAAATACATTTGTTCATTCATTCAGCAAAATTTCTTTAAGTATCACTGTATGCCAGAAAATATGCTGTGTCACAGTAGATAGTAATCAGCAAGAGGACACAATCTGAAGTTTGCAGAGTATACAACCTAACAGGTGAAAAAATACATCATTAGAAATTGTGATAATAGCAATGAAGGAAAATCAAAGGCCTCAATGACAGAACACTATGAGGTGTCTTTTTCAGATAAATACTATGAGAAGGCCCCTCTGCAGAGCTGACATTTTAGATGAGACCTAAGGATAAGAAGAAGCCAGAAATGTGAGTATGCAAGGGAAGTATTTCCAGAAAGAGTGAACTATAAACAAAATGAATTGACCCAAGAGAGAGCTTACCATTTTTGAAAACTAAAACAAGAACAATGTGTTTAGAGTGTGCTGTGGGCTGAGACTAGTTCAAAATAAAATACAAGATGGATTTGATAGGTAGATTATGCAGTACCTCCTAGGCCATGTTTAAAAGACTAGGTATTGTTATAAGCGCAATGAAGAGACCCAGAATGGAAGATGTGAAAAACACACACGCACTGGGAGAAGAAATGCAGGACCCTGAAATTCTAAGCTGAACATAAAGTCTTAAATGACAGTACTAAAAGCTTATTTCCCAGGCCATGCCTATAAATGTGAAGGTTTGTTGATGTTTATACATGAAATTGTTTGGCTATGTTCAAGTCTTTTATGGTATGGAGACATATAGGTGAGAAGTTCATTTTCATCTTTGTCCTCAAAATTGGCTGACGTATTTAAAATGTCTCTTAATGAATATTTCTTATATACATAAATATTTACAAAGAATAACATAATTCTGTTTATATGTGTTTATCAAACTACCTATGTATTACTATATCCAGATGTCAACGATATTCTTTTTTGGACAGAAGGATCATCATTGAGGACGGGAGGCAGAATTACATTGCAGCTCTGACTCAGATGGATAGAGCAGCATGCAGAGATTCGCATTGTGAATTTTAACTCCAGAATGACTGTAGGAATAAATGGGGAATCCCAAAAGGACCCACAGACTCTCTGAAGGAAGCAGACTGCTCCTGAAGGACCCAGGAGACACCCTAAATACTGTGAGTGCCCAAACTGCAGAAGTGGGAAAGGAAGTTCCTCTTTTCCCAAACACACACCCCCACTGAGGAAACTGAATGTCTGGCTTGCAGCACAAGATTTTGACCTCACCTGGAGCTGAGACAATTTAGAGAGCCAAGCAAAATACAGAAGTAGAGGAGCAACGGAAAGACCCTGGGAGCTTGCTGGGTCCTCAAGCAGGCCATTCCTGCCTGGCATCACAAGGATCCTTAGGGTGTGTGGCCAGTGGCCCAAGGAAAATGCCATAGGAAGAAGGAAGTCTTCAGTTGAACTTTGTAATAATTTGGACCAGTCGAGAAGCCTCCTGGTCAGAACTCGGGGGAGGGCACAAATCTGGTGTGCAGACTCCGCAGGCAGGGGAAGAACTAAAGCTCTTTTCTTTTGCAGCTGGGAGGCAGGTATCCTGGGGCAAGTACTCAACCCTGATTGCCCACTGCCTGGAAACAGACTTGGCTGTTAGGGGGAGCATGATGGGAGTGAGACTGGCTCTTCAGATTGCATGGGAGCTGGGTGATGCCTGTGACTGTGGCTTCCTCCCACTTCCCTGACAACCTGCATGACTCAGCAGAGGCAGCCATAATGCTCCTAGGTACACAACTCCATTGACCTGGTAACCTCACCCACATCCCCCACAGCAGCCACAGTAAGATCCGCCCAAGGAGAGTCTGAGCTCAGACACACATAGCCGTGCCCTGACCTGATGGTCTTTCCCTATCCATCCTGGTAACTGAAAAAAGAGCGTGTACTCTTGGGAGTTCTAGGGCCCCACCCACCATTGGTTGCTCTCCTTACTACCACAGCTGATGCTCTCTGGAAAGCACCACCTCCCAGCAGGATACCAACCAGACCAAAAATAGAACATTAAACCACAAAAGCTAAGAACCCTCACAAAGTCCATTTCACCCTCCTGCCATCGCCACCAGAACAGGTGCTGGTATCCACAGCTGAGAGACCCACAGACAGTTCACATCACAAGACTCTGTGCAGCCAACTCCCAGTACCAGCCCAGAGCCTGGTAGACTTGCTAAGTGGCTAGACCCAGAAGAGAGATAACAATCCCTACAGCTCAGCTGTCAGTGAGAGACAGGACTAGCTGGATTTCCTAGGCTGACTAAGAATCCCTAAGCCTAGCTGGGAAGGTGACTGCATCCACCTTGAAACACGGGCCTTGCAACTTAGCTCACACCAGACCAATCAGGCAGTAAAGAGAGCTCACTAAAATGCTAATTAGACAAAAACAGGAGGTAAAGAAATAGCCAATCATCTATCACCTGAGAGCACAGGGGGAGGGACAATGGTCAGGATATAAACCCCGGCACTTGAGATGGCAATGGCAACGCCCTTTGGGTCCCCTCCCATTACATGGGAGCTCTGTTTTCACTTTATTAAATCTTGCAACTGCACACTCTTCTGGTCTGTGTTTGTTATGGCTTGAGCTGAGCTTTCGCTTGCCGTCCACCACTGCTGTTTGCTGCCGTCCCAGACCCGCCGTTGACTTCCACCCCTCCAGATACGGCAGGGTGTCCGCTGCACTTGTGATCCAGTGAGGCATGTCCATTGCCGCTCCCAATCAGGCTAGAGGCTCACCATTGTTCCTGCCTGGGCTAAGTGCCCAGGGTTTGTCCTAATTGTGCTGAATAGAGCTATAACACTCACTGCATGGCCCAAGATTCCATTCCTTGGAATCCATGAGGCCAAGAACCCCAGGTCACAGAACAAGGGGCTTGCCGCCATCTTGGAAGCAGCCTGCCACCATCTTGGGAGCAATAAGAAAAAGGACCCCCCAGTAACATCAGGAATCCACATCCATAGGAAAAGGGAGAGAGTTCTACATCAAGGGAATTCCCCGTGGGACAAAAGAATCTGAACAACAGCCTTTAGCCCTAGACCTTCCCTCTGACAGAGTTAACCCAAATGAGAAGGAACCAGAAAACCAACTCTGTTAATATAACAAAACAAGGATCTTTAACACAACCAAAAAATCACACTAGCTCACTAGGAATGGATCTAAACCAAGAAGAAATCCCTGGTTTACTTGAAAAAGAATTCAGGAGCTTAGTTATTAAGCTAATCAGGGAGACGCCAGAGAAAGGCGAAGCCCAATGCAAGCAAATCCAAAAAACAATGCAAGAAGTGACGGGAGAAATATCCAAGGGAATAGATAGCATAAAGAAAAAACAATAAAAACTTCAGGAGACATCGGACACATTTATAAAAATGCAAAATGCTCTGCAAAGTCTCAGCAATAGAATTCAACAAGTAGAAAAAAGAAATTCAGAGCTTGAAGGCAAGTTATTTGAATTAACCCAATCCAGAAGCACCAGGTAACCTATAAAGGAAAACCTATGAGATTAACAGTAGATTTCTCAGTAGAAATTCTAAAGCTAGAGTTTCTAGCTTGAAGGGATTGGGGCTAGAAGGGATTGGGGTCCTATCTTTAGCCTCCTCAAACAAAACAATTATCAGCCAAGAATTTTGTAGCCAGTGAAACTAAGCATCATATATGAAGAAAAGATACAGTCTTTTTCACACAAACAAATGCTGAGAAAATTTGCCACTACCAAGCCAACACTACAAGAACCACTAAAAGGAGCTCTAAATCTTGAAACAAATCCTGGAAACATGTCAAAACAGAACATTTCTAAAGTATAAATACACAGGATCTATAAAACAAAAAACCAAGATATACAGGCAACAAATATCACCATGAATGGAATGGTACCACACATCTCAATAATAACATTAAATGTAAATGGCCTAAATGCTCCACTTAAAAGATACAGAACTGCAGAATGGATAAGAATTCACCAACTGACTATCTGCTACCTCAAGAGACTCATCTAACACATAAGGACTCACATAAACTTAAAATAAAAGAATGGAAAAGGCATTTCACGAAAATGGACACCAAAATTGAGCAGGGGTAGCTATTTTTATATCAGACAAAACAAACTTTAAAGCAACAGCAGTTAAAAAAGACAAAGAATGACATTATATAATGGTAAAAGGTCTTGTCCAACAGGAAAATATTACAATCCTAAACATATATGCACCTAACACTGGACCTCCCAAATTTATAAAACAATTACTAATAGACCTAAGAAATTAGATAGACAGCAACACAATAACAGTGGAAAACTTCAGTATTCCACTGACAGCAGTAGACAGGTCATCAAGACAGAAAGCCAATAAAGAAACAATGGATTTAAAATATACCTTGGAATGAATGGACTTAAGAGATATATACAGAACATTCCATCCAATAACCAGAGAATAAACATGCTATTCAACAGCTCATGGAACTTTCTCCAAGATAGACCTTATGATAGGCCAGAAAAAAAACTCATTGAATTTAAGAAAACTGAAATTATTTCAAGCACTCTCTCTGACCACAGAGGAATAAAACTGAAAACCAACTTCAAAGGCACCTGCAAAACCATGAAAATACATGGAAATTAAATAACCTGTTCCTCAAAAATGAAATCAAGATGAAAATTTAAAAATTCTTCAAACTGAATGACAATAGTGACACAACCTATCAAAACCTCTGGGTTACAGCAAAGGCAGTGCTAAGAGGAAACTTGATAGCCCTAAACACCTACATCAAAAGACTGAAAAAGCACAAACTGACATTCTAAGGTCACACCTCAAGGAACTAGAGAAACAAAACAAAACAAATCCAAACCCACCAGAAGAAAGGAAATAACCAAGATCAGAGCAGAACTAAATGAAATTGAAACAAAAAAATATACAAAATATAAATAAAACAAAAACCTGTGTCTTTGAAAAGATAGATAAAATTGGTAGACCATTAGCAAGATTAACCAAGAAAGAAGAGAGAAAATCCAAATAACCTCAATAAGAAACAAATGGGAGATATTACAACTGACACCACAGAAATATAAAGGATCATTCAAGGCTACTGTGACACCTTTCTGCACATAAACTTGAAACGTAGAAGAGATAGATAAATTTCTGGAAAAATACAACCTTCCTAGCTTAAATCAGAAAGAATTAGATACTCTAAACAGACCAATAACAAGCAGTGAGATTGAAAATGGTAATTTAAAAATTACCAAAAAAAAAATAGTCCAGGACCAGATGGATTAATAGCAGAATTCTACCAGACATTCAAAGAATTGGTACCAATCCTATTGACACTATTCCACAAGATAGTATAAAAGGAAACATTTCCTAATTCATTCTATGAAGTCAGCATCACCCTAATACCCAAATTAGGAAAGGACATAACCAAAAAAGAAAATTACAAACCCATATCCCTGATAAACATCAATGCTAAAATCCATGATACAGTACTAGCTAACTGAATCCAACCACATATCAAAAAGATAACCCACCGTGATCAAGTGGGTTTCATACCAGGGATGCAGGGATGGTTCACATATGCAAGTCAACAAATGTGATATACCACATAAACAGAATTAAAAACAAAAATCACATGATCATCTCAATAGATACAGAAAAAGCATTTAACAAAATCCAGTGTTGCTTTATGATTAAAACTCTCAGCAAAATCAGCATACAAGAGACATACCTCAATGTAATAAAAGCCATCTATGACAAGCCCACAGCCAACATTATACTGAATGGGGAAAAGTTGAAAGCCTCCCCTCTGAGAACTGGAACAAGACAAGGATACTCATTTTCACCACTTCTATTCAACTTAGTACTGGAAGTCCTAGCCAGAGCAATCAGAGAAGAGAAAGAAATAAAGGACATCTAAATTGGTAAAGAGGAAGTCAAACTGTCACTGTTTATTGACAATATGATTGTTTACCTCAAAAACCTTAAAGACTTCTCCAGAAAGCTCCTAGAACTGACAAAATAATTCAGCAAAGTTTTCAGATACAAGATTAGTGTACACAAATGTAGTAAATCTCCTACACATCAATAGTGACCAAGCAGCAAATTAAATCAAGAACTCAAGCCCTTTTACAATAGCTGCAAAAAATCTGAAATATTTAGGAATATACCTAACCAAGGAGGTGAAAGACCTCTACAAAGAAAACTACTAAACACTGCTGAAAGAAATGAGAGATGACACAAACAAATGAAAACACATCCCATGTTCATGGATGGGTAGAATCAATAGTGTGATAATGACCATACTGCCAAAAGCAATCTACAAATTCAATGCAAGCCCCATCAAAATACCACCATCTTTCTTCACAGAAAGAAAAAAAAATCTAAAATTCATATGGAACCAAAAAAGAGCCCACATAGCCAAAGCAAGACTAAACAAAAATAACAAATCTGGAGGCATCATACTATCTTATTTCAAACTACACTCTAAGGCCATAGTCACCAAAACAGCATGGCACTGATACACAAATATTCACATAGACCAATGGAACAGAATAGAGAATCCAGAAATGAACCCAAATACTTGCAGCCAACTGATCTTTGACAAAACAAACAAAAACATAAAGTGAGGAAAGGACACCCTTTTCAACAAATGATGCTAGGATAGATAATTGGCTAGCCATATGTAGGAGAATGAAACTGGACCTTCATCTCTCACCTTAAACAAAAATCAACTCAAGATGGATCAATGACTTAACTAAGACTTGAAACCATAAAAATTCTACAAGATAACATCAGAAAAACCCTTCTAGACATTGGCTTAGACAAGGATTTCATGACCAAGAACCCAAAAGCAAATGCAATAAAAACAGAGATAAATAACTGGAACTTAATTAAAATAAAGAGCTTTTGCACAACAAAAGGAACAGTCAGCAGAGGAAGCAGAAAAACCACAGAATGGGAGACAATTTTACAATCTGTATATCTAACAAAGGTCTAATATTCAGAATCTACAAGGAACTCGAATCAACAAGAAAAAAACAATTCCATCAAAAAGTGGGCTAGGGACATGAATAGATATTCTCAAAAGAAGATATACAAATGGCCAACGAACATTATGAAAAAATGATCAACACCTCTAATGATCAGGGAAATGCAAATCAAAACCACAATGTGATACCACATTACTTCTGTAACAATGGCCATAATAAAAAAATCAAAAAACAGTAGATGTTGGTCTGGATGCCAGGGAACACTTCTACACTGTTCATGGGAATGTAAGCTAGTAAAACCGTTATGCAAAACAGTGTGGAGATTCCTTAAAGAACTAAAAGTGAAACTACCATTTGAACCAGCAATCCCACTACTGAGTATCTGCCCAGAGAAAAAGAAGGCATTACACGTAAAAGATACTTGCACACATATGTTTATAGCAGCACAATTTGCAATTGCAAAATCGTGGAACCAACCCAAATGCCCATCAATAAACTAGTGGATAAAGAAACTGTGGTATATTTATATACAATGGAATACTACTCAGCCATAAAAAAGCATGAATTAATGGCATTCACAGTCTCCTGGATGAGACTGGAGACTATTATTCTAAGTGAAGTAACTCAGGAATGAGAAACCAAACATCGTATGTTCTCACTGATACGTGGGAGCTAAACTATGAGGACACAAAGACATAAGAATGATACAATGGACTTTGGGGACTTGGGGGTAGGGTGGGAGTGGGGCAAGGAATAAAAAATAAACTGCAATGAGAAGCTTTTGAAATGGTTTCAAAAACATATTAGCAATGCAGACCAGTTTGAAGGTTATTTTGGTGTTCCGGTGAAAGAAATGTACCTTGATCTTTAAGGTGGTGACAGTAGCAGAGGAAACAAGTAACTGAGAAACTAGAAAAAACAAGTAATGGAATTTGGAGATGTATGTAATTAAGGTATTAAAGAGAAGGAAGTACCAAGAATGACCCCAAATTTGCTCTAAAGGTAAATGGTAATGATATTTGAGGAGATGAGAAAAACAGATAGAAAAACGACTAGTATGAAAGAAAATCAAGAGTTCAGTTTTAAATGTATTAAATTTAAAAGTGTTGAGAGGGCCAGGCACGGTGGCCCATGCATGTAATCCCAGCAGTTTGGAGGCCCAGACAAGACGATTTCTTAAGGCCAGACGCTCAAGACCAGTCTCAGCAATATAGCAAGACCCAGACTCAAAAACAAACAAACAAACAAACAAACAAAAAAAGAATAAATAAAAGTCTTGAAAGACATTCCACTCTAGGTGAAAAACAGATAAACATATGAGTATGGAACTCAAAAAAGTGGTCTACTTTGGAGATATATATTAAAGTGGTCTACTCTGGAGATATACATTTAGTGCAAAGTGTCTTAAAGATGTCCTTTAAATAACCTAAGAAGAGAATGCAGAGAGAGAAGAGAGACCTCAGAACAATGAAGACTTCTAATATTTGGACTTTAAATAGAAGAAGAGGACCTAGACAAGGACACTGAACAAGAATTGCTAGAGGATCAGGAAAATGTTTAGTTGATATGCCAAGGGGAAAGAATGCAATGAGGCGGCAGCATCTCTAAGAAAAAGATAATAGTTAACTGCCAAATATTCTTACTATTGAACAAAGGCTAGAATCAGGATATGAGCAGAACTATAAGAATGTAGGCTATGTCAAAACATCACAGAGCCCCTGAATATGGCACCAGGACTCAGGCAAAGTGTAGGAATGTGATGCCAAGCAACTTTAAAGGCAAGGCAAGAATATAAGCTTAAAAGTTAAAGGTTTAGTCTTATGAAATATGAAAATGTGTTTAGAATTGTGGATGTCCCAATAGAATACCCCCTTTCTCTGGCTGAGTTTAATATAAAGTGAGACAATAGACAGAAAAGAGTGTAACAGATTCCTTTATCACTGATAAGACCTAGATTGGATGGTACAGGAATAAATGACATCCTACTAGTGAAACACAAAATTATAGAGTCTTCGCCATTTAGTCGCAGGAATATTATAGGCTTTCCATATAGGAGATCAACCCATACAAGACTAATGGCATAGGGAACTAGACCAGAGAAATTTGCTTTCTTTGAGGTTTAGGATTCCAAATTCACCACCTCAGAAATTACTCCAAGTTCCCTTGGAAAGTAGTGCATGTGGGAATAGGCTAGAGATTAGGAGGTCTTAGAATAATCTCATTTTGTGGAAACCAGAGGAGACAGACTGGGAAAAAACATCCTCCTCACATCCCAACAGACATGCTTGTTGACAACGTGATAAATGTCAAGTTCTTGGTCAGGAAATAAAGGGTGGAGCTAATAAAATTGGAGTACAGAACAGAGAATCCATTGTCTAGGACGTCTTGGGGCTGAATAACACAAACATTACTGAGCAAAAGTTCTTAAACTTCACCATCAATAGCGACAGGATTGAACTTGGAACTGGAGAAAGATTTGATCTTTGAAGGGGCTTAAAGTGGCTCCAGTTGTGAATACAAAAAACAAAAAATGGGCCACGTAAATAGACCATTGCCATGGATAACAAGGCACTATAGTAAACGGATAACTAGCCAGAAGTTATCCCTCTTACATAAGAAAAAAAGAAAAAAATAATACTCTATATGACATAAAGAAAAACTTATAATGCTGGAGAAATGATGAAATCTGTTTCTAGGTTACAGGCAGGTAAAGACATAGGTGATTTGACTTTGATTCCAAATACATTTATCTCAAGCCATACAAGAGTGATTTTCATACACAGGTCAAAGAGAAATGGCAATATTTAATTTTTCATTTATAAAATATGCAGTGTAGTAATCAGAATGTTTTAGTTTAAAATGGCAAAATCCTAACTCAAACTAGACACCCAACCTGGGGTCTAATAGGAGAAACTTTTAAAAGGAAATTGATTGTTATTAACTGGGAAGTACAGGTGTGGTTTGGGTCTCGGGTCTGAGAGGGGCACAGATTATAAATTCAAATCTCTCTCTCTCTGTGTTTGTGTGAGAGACAGAGAGTTTGATGTTTTCTCACTTCTCTGTTCTCATACATATTTCCTTCTCACTCTATATACACTTGATACAAAGCTTTGTGCATGTTTCTCTATGAACTAATTCCAGGGAAATGGCAAGAGATTGCTTTAATCAATACCACCACTGAGTGGTTTTTATGAAACTTTTCTGTGAAACTGAAAATGAAATTGTCTAGATAAAGAAATTATAAAATCATACCCCATTTAAAATAGACTCAGCCATATGAGCTGGACTCATCAGAGAAAAGTGTGCCTCTTCCTCTGGTGGAAGCAGGCCTGTGTCGGCACATGGCTTGACAAGTGGCATTTAGGCTGAATTTCATCTCCCAGTCACTAACTTTTATCTGCCTTTGTGCAGCCAGCAGGAGTCCTTGGTGCCAGGCTTACATTATTCCATAAAAACAACTGAAAGAAACAGAAAACTCCCTCTCAAAATGCACATATGTAATAACCCCAACAAAGACTCAATGACTGCATCAATGTGGTCACAGATTAGGATGCTTTGATTAGCTAGCACTTGCAGAAACACATGGCATGTGGGGTGGGCATTCTGCCAAAAGGGAAGGGTGTTGTTCCCATATGAAGAAAAAAGGGCTGCTGAGTAAAACAAAGCGACAAATGTTCCCTGCCTTCCTATTCTCACCTCTCTCACACACATACGCACACTACCAAACACACAAACAAAAACGCTTATCTTGACTATCATACTTCAGCTATCCAGCTACCCTTTTCCTCTTATCTCTTTTGAATGCAGGTTTCTGAATAAAACAGTTCCTAAAATTGCTGTCTCCACTTTTTCTTTCACTTCTTCTTCAGCTCAGTCTGATCTTTCTCAAATCAATCTACCAAAACAGTGCTTGCTAAGGTTACACACAACTTTCTTGTTAAATCAAAGAAATATATATATATTTATTTATTTATTTAAAATATTTAAAATATTTAAAAAATATATATATTTAAAAAATATATATTTATTTATATAAAATATATATATATTTCTAGTTTGTATCTAACTTGACATCTTAGTAGAATTTGACTTCAAAGATCACGCCTCTCCTTTCTTGAAGAAGTCCTCCTTCGACAAAAGTGACTCCACATTGTCTCGATTTTTCTGCCATCTCTGGCCAATTTCTTTTTAGTGTTGTTGCATTTTCATCTGTTTTATTCCAACTATTAGATATTGGAGCATCAGGAATTTTCATGCTTGGTCTACTCCTCTTTCCTCATTTTACATTCTATCCCTAAGCAATCTCATCCACAATTATATCTTAAAATATACAGAGATGGCTGAAAATCTGGACCCACAGCTAAAGCATCCCCTCTGAGCTATGATTGCATCAAACTGCCATGTTGAAAATTGCTTTTGGCTATCTTAGAGGCACTTTTAATTAAATATGTTCCTAGTTAAAAATGTTATTTTTCCCTCTTTCTTTCATCAAGCATATCTGCGTGCATTTACACAGTTCTCTTTCAGTTGAACCAGTCTCAGGGTGTAACATCACTGCCATGTTCTGGATATATGTGTCCCCTCAAAATTCATACGTTGAAATTCTAACCCTCAAGGTGGTAGTATTAGGAGGTAGGGATTTGGGTAGGTGATTAGGTCATGAGAGCACAGCTCTTCTGATGAGATTAGTGTCCTTATTAAAAAGGACCAAGAGAACTCTCTCACCCCTTCTGCTATGTGAGGATGCAGTAAAGAGACTGCCATCTGTGAATCAGAAAGCAAGCCCTGACCAGACACAAAATCTGCCCAATACCTTGTCCTGGAACTTCCCAGTTTCCATAATCATAAGACATAAATTTCTGTTGTTTATATGTCTCCTAATCTATGATATTTTGTTATAGTAGCCCAAACAGACTAAGACAATCCCCATCCATCATGACCCAGTGACCACTATCTCCTCTCTTTTACTCATCATGTTCAGTGTATATCTAGGTCCTGTAGAATTCACTACCTAGGTAAATCTTATATTCTTTTTTTTTTTTTTTTTTTTTTTTGAGACGGAGTCTCACTCTGTCGCCCAGGTTGGAGTGCAGTGGAACAATCTCGGCTCACTGCAAGCTCCGCCTCCTGGGTTCACGCATTCTACTGCCTCAGCCTCCGGAGTAGCTAAGACTACAGGGGCCCGCCACCACGCCCGGCTAATTTTTTGTATTTTTAGTAGAGACGGGGTTTCACCATGTTAGCCAGGATGGTCTCCATCTCCTGACTTCGTGATCCGCCCGCCTCATTCTTCCAAAGTGCTGGGATTATAGGCGTGAGCCACCGCGCCCGGCCTTAAATTCTTTAATATTATTTCACTTTTATTGTTACTACAAAAACCAGCCTCACCCTCACACCTGGACTGCCACATTGGCCCAGGAGCCAGTTTCGTGTCTAGCATCTTCTACTCTGTCCTCCAGTTTCTCTTTGTCAATGCAGCCAAAGTAATTTTTCTGAAGATCAAATAATATCACTCAGCAACCAAAATCTCAGACAGTGCTTAAAATGTCCCACATTGTCTGGTCCTATCTATATCCATGATTTAATGTTTTGCCACCTCTGTCACTTGGTCTTTCTATTCCAGAGTCACAGGGCTTCTTTCTGTTTTTAGCATGTACCATTCCCTCACAAAATAGGATCTTTGCACATACTTCATACTTTTCATTATGAACAGCATGCTTTTTCTCCCCGTTTTCATGTTGCAACCTTAGATCCCACAGATTTCAATTCAATTTTCAATTCCTCAGGAATGTATTGTCTGACTTTTAAACTGGGTAAAATATTCTTAATATGCCCTCTCAAAAATTTGTGCCCTTCTCATTCACAATACTCTTTATATTGGTAATTTTGAATTTAATGTTTCTTGGATAAATAAATTACCAACATTCAAATAATTTCTTCACTACCATAACCCAGCATACAAAATAAACCATGCTTAACTTTCTGAAAAGTAGACTTGTCCAGGACTCTACCAATTACTGCACCTAATTGAATGCTAAGATCTAGGAGTTACGATTGTTCTCATTGCTTAGATCCAGATGGAGCTCCTTATAACCCAGTAACATATTCCTGAATGTTGTAGTATGTATTTTAATGAACCCAATATCATTGGTGGCATAATAATTTCATTTTGGTTAGGGGTGATTAAAGCAAATATACTCTAGTTGCTAGTCCAGAACCCAAACTATATACTGCTTATCAAAATAGTATACTTATTTTGAATGAATCCCTACTTTTCTGACAATGAAATTATTTCCTTGGACAGATATAGCAAATACTGTTATGTGTCACACATACCCCCCTGTTTTCACACTCCAAGACTGAAGCATCCATTTATCTAGGGGCAGATAGTATTGTCACTCAAGACTCTCAGATGAGTCCATCTCTGGGAGTTCCTTTGGGTCAAGAAAGCGACTTTACTCAAGATTATTTTCATGTTTCGTGGTGATGATGCAGACATAATAAGATGTTTCATAAAACTGAAAAAATGGTGAACCTCAATTAGTAATTTGATGTGAACAACAATTGATAGGACTGCCATGGCAAATCATAGTGAAAAAGATCAAAAGACTCATATAGTTGAGCATGCTAGAGTGAACATATTATGTAAGGCTGAAAAATCCATCTGCTGCCTATGTCCCATGAGAGAGCCTAGAGGAGACTCTGCTTACCGACATAATAAATATGCACTGGGGTAAAGGGCCCTAGCATCATTAAGAAGATCATTGTTGTAGGTCTCATATAATACAGTGCTGACAGTAAGAGATACTATACAGCACTGTTTTGTTTGGCAGTAATTGTTATAACAGGACCTCAAACACAGAAGCGAGATGGCAGAAACTAGCTGTCAGAAACATGCTGAGTGCCATTAGCATAATTACTCATAAGGTCTGGATGTCCTGACAAGCAGAGAGCCACAGAAATTGTTAATAGATAGAATATAATTTCCCTACATGTAAGATATCTAGGTAGCCAACAAGTTTACTGCTAAATATATATGACCAAAATAAAGCAAGAATAGTTGATAGAGGTTGATGCCATAAATCCCAATTAAATGTCTTGATTTATTGCCTTGTTTATGAAATGGAGCAGGGATTCAGACCCACAATTTATTGGCTAAAGAAGATCTTCTAAAAACAAACAAAGAAAACAGGAAACCACCATGTCAAGTATATATCATAATGGGAACACTTCCTGAATGGCAAAGAAAGGACTTACAAAAATCTGATGCCCCATAACAGCAATAAGAGCATAGGAAAAAAAAAAAGCTGATATAAACTTTTTCAGAACTCTGGAAAACAGCTAAATGTTTACAACAATTGAAGGAAGACTTATCCAATAAAAATAGCTGAATCTAGGTAAAATATTGAACTTTGTCACTATTTTAATGTGCTCTAATCCCATTCCCTTCTCCATGGCTTTGCATTATCCTTGAAAACCAATGGCCTCATGATTGTCATGACTGATGAAAACCAGTACCTTATCAGCCACTGAAAGGAACTGAATGGGTTTGGAGATCCCAAAACTCCACATCACAGGGAATTATCACTATTTGACCACCTGGAAACTTTCTGGAAAACACCACTCAGTTTATCTTTATTTGACCTAACTTAGACTTCACTCAGTGTTAACAATGCATATACAACACATTTGTCAAAAACAGTCAGCTGCCATTGTTTAATATTAAAGGTTCTTCAGTCAGCCCCACCTGTTGGGACTAGTAAGAGGCTAGCCAAACCACTTAAAATGAAAAATTAGGGAGTTATATGTCTATAGGTCCTTTGAAAACTCTGACAAGCTCCTGGAAATATAAAATGTTATGTATGCAAATGCACAGAGATGTTCATATACCCAGGATTGTGGAAACACTCAGGAGGCTTGAGATAATCTAAATCTAAATCTAAATCTAATAATGTAAGGAAACCAGAAAGGCCAAATTATCCTTGAAAAGTAAAAACAATGTTGGATAACTCACACTTTCTGATTTCAAAAGTTGCTACAAATTGCAGTAATCAAGAGAGTATGCTACTGGCATAAGGATAAAAATATAGATAATTGGGAAATAATTGAATGTCCAAAAAAACCCCTCAAATTTATGATCCACTGATTTTCAACAACGGTACCAAGACAATTTAATGGAGAATAGTCTTTTCAACACTTGGTGCTGGAACAGCTAGATATCCACATGCCACAGAAGAATGTTAAACTCCTACCTCACACTGTACACAAAAATTAACTTAAAATAGATCAGAGATGTAAATATAAGACTACAAACTAAGAATTTTAAATTATGAAATCCTTAGAAGAAAACATAGCGTTAAATATTCTTGACTTGGGTTAACCAAATGTTTTTTAAATGAAATATCAAAAGCACAGTGAAAAGAAAAGAAAAAAAACAATAGATATATTGGGCCTGACCAAAACTAAAACCCTTTGTGTTTCAAGTGATACTATCAATTAAGTAAAAAGATAACCAACATAATAGAAAAATATTTGCAAATTATATATCTGATAAGGAACTTGAATACAGACTATAAATAAATTCTTCATCTGAACAACAAAAAGTCACATAAGCCAATTAAAAAGGGTCAAGTAATTTTAACATACGTCTCTCCAAAGGATGTGTACAAAGGCCAATAACACATGCAAATATGCTTAAGAAAATGAAAAGAACCATGAGATACCACTCGACACCTACTAATATTGCTGTAAATAAAAATATGGAAAATTATAAGTATTAGCAAAAATGTGGAGCAACTGGAACTCTCAAATTTTGTTGTTCAGAATTTAGGATTATACAGCCTCTTTGGAAAAAAAGTTTGATAGACTCTGATAAAGTTAACATAGACTTATCATATGATCTAGCAATTTCACTCCAGGTGTATACCCAGGAAAATTAAAACTCATGTTCACTCAATATCTTGTACATAAATATTCATAGCATCATTATTCACAATTGCCAGATAGTGGAAACAACAAAAATTTGTATTAACTGAAAATTGGATCAACAAAATGGGATTGGCTATATAAAGGAATATTATTCAGCAATTGAAAGGAATAAGGTACAAATATATATCACAACATGAATAAACCTTGAAAATATACTAAAGAAGCCAGACATGAAAAGATGCATATTGTGTGATTCCATTTACATAAATCTCCATAATAGGCAAATCCATGGAGAAGAAAAGTAGATTAGTGTTTGCTGCAGACTGGGGGAAGGGGAAATGTGGAGGGATCACTAATGAGTATTGGGTTTCTTTTTGGGTGATGAAAATTTTCTAGAATAAGATATAATGGTAGCACCACCTTCTGAATATACTAAAACTCACTAAATTGTGCATTTAAAAAGGGTGATTTTTATATTACGTGAATTATATCTCAATAAATTTGCTATAATAAAATTTCTAAATGACTCTCTAATTTTTAGTCAGAAAAACACATTCTTTGGTAAAGATACACTGGGGAAACTGAAACATCCAAATACTTTGAGGACTGTATGGTCTATTTTAAGATTGATTCTCAGAGACTAAAGAGTCATTTTCCCTCCTAACCCCCATTATAACAGAGGCATGATGATAAGGCAATAAAAGGAATCCTAGCTCAGTTCGGGACATAGTGAATCCACTGTATCCAGGAAATGAGCAAGTGGTCACTTTTCATCATACCTAACTCCATAACTGGAGTGAACATACTTGGTGGTAGAATTTTCACATCACTTTCTTGAATCCTGATATAAAAATATAAGAGCATTTGTAATGAGAAAGCCCAGGAGAAAATTTCTCATACACACACACTCTCTCTCTTTCTGTCTCTCTCTCACACAAACACATATATTTATTTTTATTTTATTTTATTTTAAGTTCCGGGGTACATGTCAGGATGTGCAGGTTTGTTACATAGGTAAATGTGTGCCATAGTGGTTTGTTGCATCTATCAACCTAGGTATTAAGCCCAGCAAGCATTAGCTATGTTTCCTGATGCTCTCCCCTGCCACCTTCCCCCAACAGAGCCCAGTTTGTGTTGTTCCTCTCCCTGGGTCCATATGTTCTCATTGTTCAGGTTCTACTTATAAGTGAGAATATGTGGTGTTCGGTTTTCTGTTTGTCTGTTAGTTTCCTGAGGATAATGGCTTTCAGCTCCATTCACGTCCCTGGAAAGGGAATGTTCTCATTCTTTTTATGGCTGCATGGTATTCCATAGTGTATATGTATCACATTTTATTTATTCAGTCTATCATTGATGGGCATTTGGGTTGATTCCATGTCCTTGCTATTGTGACTAGTGCTGCAATGAACATATGCGTGTACATATCTTTATAATAGAATGACCATATTTATATTCCTTTCGGTTTATACCCAGTAAGGGGATTGCTGGGTCAAATAGTATTTCTGATTCTAAATCTTTGAGGAATAGCCACACTGTCTTCCACAATGTTTTAATTAATTTACATTCCCACCAACAGTGTAAAAGCTTTCATATTTCTCTGCAACCTCACCAGCATCTGTTGTTTCTTGACTTTTTAATAATCACCATTCTGACTGGCATGAGATGGTATCTCATTGTGGTTTTGATTTGCATTTCTCTAATGATCAGTGATATTGATCTTTTTTTCATATATTTGTTGGCTGCATAAATGTCTTCTTTTGAGAAATATCTGTTCATGTCCTTTGCCCACTTTTTAATGGGGTTGTTTGTTTATTCCTTGTAAATTTGCGTGAGTTCCTTGTAGATTCTGGATATTAGACCTTTGTCAGATGGATAGATTGCAAAAATTTTCTCCCAGAAGCTCTTTATTTTAATTAGATCCCATTTGTCAATTTTTGCTTTCGTTAGAATTGCTTTTGGTGATTTTATCATAAAATCTTTGCCCATGTCTATGTCCTGAATGGTGTTACCTAGACTTTCTTCTAGAATTTTTATAGTTTTGGGTTTTACATTTAAGTATTTAATCCATCTTGAGTTAATTTTTGTATAAGGTATAAGAAAGTGGTCCAGGTTTAATTTTCTGCATATGGCTAGCCAGTTCTCCCAGCACCATTTATTAAATAGGGACTCCTGTCCCTATTGCTTGTTTTTGTCTTGTTTGTTGAAGATCAGATCGTTGGAGATGTGTGGTTTTATTTCTGAGTTCTCTATTCTTTCCATTGGTCTATGTGCCTGTTTTTGTACTAGTAGCATGCTGATTTGCTTCCTGTAGCCTTGTAGTATAGTTTGAAGTCAGGCAATATAATGCCTTCAGCTTTCTTCTCTTTGCTTAGGATTGTCTTGGCTATATGAGCTTTTTTGTCGTTCTGTATGATTTTTTAAATAGTTTTTTTCTAATTCTGTGAAGAATGTCAATGGTAGTTTAATGGGAATAGCACTGAATCTACAAATTGTTTTGGGCAGTATGGCCATTTTTTTGATATTTCTTCCATCCATGAGCATGGAATGTTTTTCCATCTGTTTGTGTCCTGTCTGATTTCCTTTAGCAATGGTTTGTAGCTCTCCTTAAAGAGGTCCTTCACTTCCCTTGTTAGCTGTATTCCTAGGTATTTTATTCTCTTGGATACACATATATTTACATAATCTTGATGGATTTTGTAGAAACTGGTGTCACTCTTAAAAATTTGAAAGGCTCATGAATGCCAATAGACTACTACAAAATCAACCCAATAAATTGTAATCTCAATAAATATTGCCATGCCAGATGCTATGTATTTTCTAGAACACGTTAACATATTCCCAGGTACATGGTATGGTACTATCTGGCAATCACTAATATAACATTTGTTTTTCCATTTCTATTAGAATAAAAGGTCAGAAACAGTTTGCATTATTTTTGGGTAGAAAGGCATAAACACTTACCTTCTTGCTCAAGGGTAGTGTTAACTCTTTTGGCATGTGTAGTAATATAGTGCACAGGGAACTGGATTACCTGGACATCCTGCAGGACATATGTATAAATAACATTTTTTAAATCACAGTATGTATGAATGACATCATTGATCTACTCTATGAATGACATTATTTTAATTGCACCAGATGTGCTGAAAGCAACAAGTATGTTACAGGCCATAGTAAGATGTATATGTTCCAGATAACTCAAACAACTCAAAGCTGAGGGCTCTGTTGCTCCACCCCATCTGGACCAGCAGAGGTGCTAGATAAGAGCAAAAAGAGTTCAGAATGGGTAGTAGAAAAGAGAGATAGTAAAAATCAGTTGCAGGATGGGTGTGGTGGCTTATGCCTGTCATCCCACCAATTTGGGAGGCCAAGGCAAGAGGATCACTTGAGCCCAGGAGTTCAAGACCAGCCTAAGCAGCATGGCAATACTTCATCTCTACAAATAATAATAATAACGACAAAATAGCTGGATGTAATTGCGTGCACCTGTGGTCCCTACTACCCAGGAGTTAGAGGTGGAAGGATAGCTTGAGCCCGGGAGGTGGAGGCTGTGTGTGTGTGTGTGTGTGTGTTGTGTGTATCTCCAATATAAAATATTCTAGGTTAAAAAGGCAGACATTATTCTTCAGCCTTGCTCACATGTTTTACAGTTGGGAAAACTGGCCTCTCTGTTAGGAAGAATTGAATATAAATTTATATTATTACTCTCTTGTGATCTTGTTTCTACTTTTTGCTTCTTCTCAAATCCCAATATTCTCTTTTGTTATATTCCCTAACTTAAGTTTCACTAACTTTAGCAAATTGCAGAGATTTTATAATATAATTACCTTGTGATGTGATATCATTCTTTGCAGATAATAAAATTTCTATCCAGGAAATTACTGGACATCTACAAATACAATTAACAAGACAGTTTGTCAGTTATGACCTTATAAACCAGCAGCAAACATTCATATAATGTAATTTGAAAAGACGCAATTATAGTAGCAACAAAAATTGTAAGTTACCTAGAGATTGATGCTTTCAAGATCTTTTGTATAATTATAATTAAAAACATAAAATCTTCCTAAATAAATGAAAAGATTTTCCATGTTCATGGGTGGGAAAAATTGATATCGAAAAGATCTAACATTGATCCAACAATTATTAAAGTTGACTAAGTGTCAGGCCCTTTTCTGAGGAATTAGGGAATCTCAGTGAGCAAAACAGAACAAAAATTTCTAAGTCTAATTCTTTCCATGTTATTTGATAAATCTAATACAATTTTTATGCAATTTACAGCAGAACTGTTTTTCTGAAAAATTTTGTAAGCTAATCCTAAAGTTCAAATGGAAGAGTCAAAGAACAAATATAGTCAATGTAATTTTTAAATAAAGGAGTAGGAGGAACCCTGAGAACAATGAGTGGAAGGAAGAATAAGAACACGTTGTATAGAAAGTATCATTATAGTGCTTTCATAATGAAAACATTCTAGTCCTGGCAAGGGATGTTTCCAACAGATGCAATACAGACATCAAAGCTTCTTCACTATAGGACTGTGCATCGCTTGCCTGGGCTTTCCGTATTAGTTCCATAAAGACGTCGTCCTAGCCCCTTGATATGGCCTGAAATTATCACTTTAAGCATACAACAGGTCCTCTCACATTTACCAGATAAAAAGAATACTACTGAGAATATTACTTTTGCAAAGAAATCAATCAGTTTTTTAGAGAATATCAGGCCTCATGTGACTGTCTAAAATCTATGGATTTTCTTTATAAAAATGAAGTTTTAAAAATATTTTTACCTTATTAAATATTAATTTTGGCATGAATTTTTACAGTTCACTTAAGCTTGCAACACCACAGCCTTCCTGTCTTCCAAAAAAATCAGATGTTTCAAATAATTGATCTTGTTTTTCCATTGTAGGCTACAATAATTCCCATTATTCAAGTGTTATATGTATTTCTATTTTCTAGCTTTAATTTGGTTCAGAAATAGAATATCTTTTGTTTTCTTTTGATTATTTCCTGTTTATAGTGCTTAGGATGTCATACTAGGTACATGTTTTACTACGTGTTGCCTTCTCCACCCCATCTCCTTGAGACTTGTGAAATATCTGCAAATACATATATTTTATAATTTGGCTTTCCATTCTTAATCACTACCTGTCAAAGTGTCTTATAGTCAGTAGACAAACAGTATTTTTGTATAATAATTAATCATTATTCTACAGGAACCAAAATCTAGGCTTCTTATATGTCAAGCTTAATCCCAAACCTTGAGACAAATTAACAAATATTCATTTCGTTTTTATTTCTCTTATTTTTTAACAGCAGCCTTTACATATAGGGTAAATTGGCTTCAACCTGAATAACAAAACTACCCTTGGAAAGATGTGGTCTTAGAATCAACCCACAAGTTGAAATTTATAAGCTGGAGAAATATCAAAGTGTGTTTATTACTTTTTGTTTGTTTAGTATAAGCTTGAGTCTAGAAAACACAGTAAGATGTCAATACACCAGATTTGAAGAGGCATAGGCTATATATGCACACACACACGAGACAGGGAAAGAGAAACTTCTAGTTACTGGCTTGTCCAATAGCTATATTTACCAAACATGTTGGTCACCCCATTTTATGAGACATCGAAATGCGCCAAGAGAATCATGAAAATGAGATATTTCTTCCTTGAGGTTAATCAAACTCCAATGAGTTAACAGGAAATTTGGGGAACTTGTTATGAAATTTTCCACTCTTATGAAGTGTTTATTAACTTTAAAAAAAATGATCATCTTAGAAATGTAGCTAGCCTCGAAATATCCCTTGATATACTTGTTTAATATGTACATAGCCTTTCTGCTCTTCTCACCTCATTAAAAACCACCAAAAGGCCGGGCACAGTGGCTCACGCCTGTAATCCCAAAACTTTGGGAGGCCGAAGTGGGCAGATCATTTGAGGTCAGGAGTTCGAGACCAACCTGGCCAATATAATAGTGAAACCCCATCTCTAATAAAAATACAAAAATCAGCCGGGTGTAGTGGCACACGCCTGTAATTTCAGCTACTAGGGAGGTTGAGGCAGGAGAATTGCTTGAGCGTGGGAGGCTGAGGTTGCAGTGAGTGGAGATCGTGCCATTGCACTCCAGCCTCTGCGACAGAGCAAGACTCCACTGGGGAAAAAAAAAAAATAGTAACAAATATTTTCAAGATCCACTATGTTGAGTAAAGTTAACTTTTATGTCATTGGTTTATTGCTGAAATACTTTTAGGCAACCCTCAATTAGGTTTTATGTGACTTAGTACTGAACTGCACTAATACCTTTGGATCAGTAAAGAAGGAAATATGTTAAAAGAATAAAATATACATTTATACCATTTATATCTTGTATTGACTGAAAAATGTCGGATTTCTGTCTTCTCTAACCTATATAATAATACATTGAAAACAATTCTATTGAAAAAAATAGATGTGCTCAATTAAAATTGCATTACTAATGTTATTCACCATCAGATATTAATTCTAAGTGGTTATTTAGCAGAATCAGCACTTTATCTTAACAGGGGGAAAAATTGTCTTTTAATTATAATACTTCGGTCTGTTGAACATTTGACTTATTGTTTCTTTTAGATTACAATGACACTCAATCAATTATTTCTAGCATAATTTGAAGCTGAAAAATACTTAATTATAGAGGCAAAGAGAAATAATGTGTTGCTTGATATTTAAAACTCAAAAATGAACACTAATGCCATTGAGAAGATGAAATTCTAATGTATATCTTTTAAATTGGTACTTTTCATCAATGTTCTGGAACTCTTTATTAGTTTCATTTTGCTGAAATACTAACACCATCAGCTTTTTGGATATTACAAAGAAAGTAAGTACAGAATATGGTATTTTATTATGCAATTATTAACTTTAACTGACTTGGAAAAATAATTATAATTCAAATCAACATATGTTGTATTGGTTGGACTTTTTTGTATATTTAATAAAGTTACTGTATAGGGACATAAAAAAGGAAAATTTCATGAATATTATTTAATGCCCTTTTTAACATCAGAGATACTAATAATATTGAGGAAATTAATTTTGCCTTGCCATCAAAAACCTTGTAAAATATAAACGTCTATTCCTGAACTACTTCCTATAAAAACGTAATGGAAAGTCAAAAATAAATCTTTCTTTAAGATGTTAAGTAAGGTATTTTTGAAGCAAATGGAGAAGGTAAGCAGAGATGAAGCAGCTTATTTTTTTAATAGTGTTACACAAATTTATTCATATTATTTTGAGCATCCTATTTATATAGTGTATGCCATAGTGTTAAAGACAAAACATCTACTCCTCATGACCTTAACCTTTAGTTAAACAGGTGACTAATGCCATCTTAATTCATGTTTAACTCTTTCAACAATTATTCAGTAGTCCAGGACAGATTTTATGCACCAAGGGAAACTTAAGAAATAGTTGCTTACTTGAAATCTAATTAAGCCTCTAGTGCATTTATGGTGAATTCTTTTTGCAGTGGTTGAATATGCATAATTATCAAATTCCTTATATAAGAAATGTGTGTGCATTTTAAAGAAAGTGTTTATTAATAAATAGTAAGAAGTTTCAAATATTTACTTTGCTGGTTATGAACGTTTTGGAGCAGAAAAAGTAACTCATAATCTCCCATCCTCTCTTCTTTATTTCCCCTCATCAATCCACAAGCAAGCAAAATAGTCATGGTTGCATTCCATGCTAATTTGTAATTGTGGCTTTATGCAGTAAAATTAGTTCTTACATAATTCTAAGTACATATAAAAATAATTACTCAGAAGTAATTTTTAGCTTTCTGAACTGCTCAGGAGCACAGTACTTGTCAAACATGTAATTCACATGAAACTAATTATTTTGTCATACTATAAAATATGTATATACATTTAAACATGCTCTATTCCTACAGTTACAAATATGAACATTTTTAAACTGTAAAACACACAAGCTGATCTCTAACATAGTTTTGTGATGCTTCATAAACAAATAGACTCACCAACTTGTCTCAAGTTTTACATATTCCAGAAATGCTTTCCTGTTTCAAGTCACAAGTGTATTTGTCCAGACCTTTCAAAGAAAATAAGCTCCACTGTACTCAAAGAAATTAGTTGTGTTGCTGAAGTAAATGAGGAGGTTTAGTTCTTACAGTGTCAAATCTCAAACCTAATTTTCCAAAGAAACCTACTTGGTGTACTAATTGGAAAAGTTACCTTCAGTAAGTAACTTAGCCTCTTTGAGAGTCAACCTCATAAACTTTCTCAACAGGAAGGTAATAACATCTATATATATTGTCATATGCAAAATGTCTCATGTCTACTACATGCTCAATTGGCCCCTTTCTGGTAACACAAGTACAATAAGAAAATTACTCTAGATAGTCATCCAGCTCTCAGAAAGGTAAAAAACACAGATTGACAGAATAAACTGGAGTCCTGAACTGACATAAGCCCAGCGAAGGTTTGAAAAAACAAGAAAGAAATAATAACACAATTAATATTTGATAATTAAATGAGAATCTAAGAAGGGGAAATAATATTCTGACAATAAGTAGTAGCATTTAATAAACAGCAAGTATGCCACAGCCTTACCAGAAAAAAAGAAATTAATTAGAACCAGATTTTTATAAAATTTTATTCTTTCAGATTACTAAGTGGATATAATTCTATAAACTTGGAATATTTTGTATTACATTTTAGGACAAAATCAATTAAGCTTTATTGCATCTTATAGGTATATTGGAACATTGTCTCACTCAGAAAGTGTAATTCCTGAAATACTGATAATTTATTTTATTAATAGTAATGCATTTTCTGAATTCCCCTAAAAACAACATATTTACAATTACCTGAATAACTTAAGGGTGTTTTTGGAATACAAATATTCTTGAAATATTGACTAATCATTAATCCCCATTTAAATATTTTGTATAGTCTTTCACATAGAAAGAGTACAAAGAAATCTATATAGGTAAATTATATATGTAATCTAGTGCTGAAAGCTCTGATCCACTGAAAGTAAAATTTTAGGTGAAGAAGTTAAATCATATTGTATTAAAAATATGTTTAAACATGGCATATTTTCAATTGCACCAACAAACACATGTCATCTCTCCAGACATGTCAAAGAATATTTGTTTGTGTAAGCAACTTATGAAAGATAATTATTGACTTTAAAAACAATTTCTAAAGATGTGTTAAATTAAAACACCAAATTCTGTGAAGGGGTAAGTAGGTAAGAGGCAGTGAAAATATTCTCTTTTACAGTATTGGAAGAGAGACAATATTGAAATTGGGATGAGATGCATAATTTTTTAAATTGTGGTCTCATTTTTAATTGTCTACTCTTTACTAAATAAAATATAGTTAAAGGTGTTGAGTTAGATCAGAAATGTAAATTCAAAAATGGCATTTTTTCACTTTGTGAGCAAATTAATGCTCATCACTAGACAGGCATTATTTATGATCTAAATATAATTGTATATCATTAGTCATGTAGGTAGACTAGATAGTAACTAGAGCACAAATATATTTACACTATCTCTGAAATCTATGAAAGTCAGGATAATAAAGAATCATTAAAGTACTGTTTTCAGGGCAGCTTCACAGATTACTTGGGCCAGTAGGTGTGACATGAAATTTCTTTTCATTTCTCTGGGTACAATAGATCATGTAAATGACCCATTCTTTCATATAGCTTTGGAATATTACATATTTAGCCCTGATTTCTTTTTACACCCCATAGAGATTTAAAAGTGTGTTAAAATGACAGCGAGATTAGAGACACTTGTTGTAAGTTTCTCTTTCTTGCAAAAGGAGTTGTGAGCACTCATAGAGAAAAAAAAGTAGATTTGAGGGAATCAAATGGTAGAAAAGAATTAGTAGTAGGACTAACCCAGGAACAGGGAATTTAATAGGACAGCATATGCATCTCTGACTAGTACAAGAACTAAAGGAAGAAAATAGAATTATGGACATCTTTAGCCGAATAAAGTATCTACCACTACTTTCATAGGAAGAAATGCTTGTTGTTATCGAGCTAAGAATTTAAAAACCAAAAACAAATGAATAAACCAAGAAAACGTTACATAAACTGACTCTGGTGTCAATATAGACCATTAAGACTTGGAAGATACAATTTTGCATATATGTCTGAGATAAACCTGGAAATGCCTAAGAAAAATATTTTTCAGAGAGCAGAGATGGTTATCACAACTATAGGTTCCACAAGGGTAGTAAAACACCAGGTTTGAAATATAAAACACCTAAGTCACAGGGTAAAGGAAAAGACAGGCTTCATTCAGAAGTACCTATTTAATTAGCAAACAACTCCTTGCTTCATATTCAATCAGATATGCACTTTGGGGGTGATATGGAGATTGGACTATAAGCAGGAAAAAGCATGATACCAGTATAAGAAGTTTCTCCAATTACAAATCCAAATATATCTTTGCTTAGAAAAATTTGAAGATTAAAATATAGATATTTCTCATATTCATAATTTTTAGAGAAAGAATAATTTATTCAAAACTGAAAGAAAAAAAGAAGGATATTCAACAAGGTGTCAAGTTCTGTTTTTAGAGAGACTTCTATTGTTAATCTAACAGGTATAGTTGCAATTATAATGATTTTAATAGATAAAACAAAAAATTGAGTTGTCAGGTAGTAAAATTGCTTGAGGCAGAAGTATTTGGGGTTTGTTTTTGTTTTGTCATCTCTATTTTCCCTGTTCTAATAAATTATTCTTGAATCCCAAAACATTGAAAGTATAATATTCATATTTCAACATAATGAAACCAAATAATTTCTTATCATGAATGTACCATATAATATTACTTGTACTATAAATTCTCTAACTTCTGATTAAGGTTTCCAAAGCTATAGCAATGCAAGTGACTTGATTCCAGATGAATAATGTCAAGCTCAGTAAAAATTATTAAGCTCTGGTGTCTGCAGAAC
The DNA here is from genome assembly GCF_000001405.40 of Homo sapiens. Taxonomy (NCBI): domain Eukaryota; kingdom Metazoa; phylum Chordata; class Mammalia; order Primates; family Hominidae; genus Homo; species Homo sapiens. The sequence goes on from NC_000004.12 coordinate 133,985,982, forward strand.
GTTACAGCACTTGTTTTATATTGTACACATCGAGAATACTCAAGGGAGAATAAACTCTTATATAATCATTATTAAATATTTATTAGTCACAGCTTAAAATTTCATTAATTGTATTACCATAGAAAACTATTTCCCAAACACAACACTTTTAAGTTTTATAATTAAAACTTTGGATGTCAATATCCTTCTAGCTTAAGGTAGCAGGTATTAAATGCTTGTCTGGTAGTGAAAACTTATTGCCATTTAATTTTTCCATTTATAACATAAACAACTTTTTATATCTTTCCTTTCAAAATTATCCCTTTGAATACTTTAAAACTATTGTTTTCTTACTAAGATAGCAAAACAAACCAGAAGCAGAATAAAATACGAGATATATAAATTAAGTAAAATGAAGCACATTGATGACTTTACACTACAAGTTAGAAAAAAGCACTATTTTGGAATTCAGGACATAAAAATTATTTGTTTGCATTTTTTTCCCTATTCAGGACAAATACTTAATGACAATGAGAAGAAAATAAGAGAAATAAAATGCTTTGATTGTCTACAATGTCAATGATCTAAACACCTACAAATATCACTGTAAAGTACTGAAATTGATTTGCAAAACCTCAACATACTAATAGACCAATATGGTCATAAATTAAAAACTTGAAAAAAAGAGAAAATCAAAAAATAATAAACATCTCGGGACTGCCTATTAGATGTGCCTTCATAATTCTGTTTGTGATCATGTGGTACTTTAGTGAGAAGACTTTTTTTTTTTTTTGAGAGGGAGTCTTACTCTGTCACCCAGGCTGGAGTGCAGTGGCACGATCTCAGCTCACTGCAACCTCTGACTCCTGGGTTCAAGGAATTCTCCTGCCTCAGCCTCCGGAGTAGCTGGAACTACAGGAGCTTGCCACCATGCCCTGCTAATTTTTGCATTTTTAGTAGAGATGGGGTTTTGGTATGTTGGCCAGGCTAGTCTCTAACTCCTGACCTCAGGTGATCTACCCGACTCGACCTCCCAAATTTCTGGGATTACAGCCGTGAACCACCGCACCTGGCTGAGACTTTCAATTGTTGATAATGTTCCACAGTCAAAACTGGCTTGAGCTACAAATGTAACTCATCTAACAATTTCAAAGGTTAGTTTTGTTGTTGTTGTTGTTGTTTTGCTAGGGATTTGGTTTTGTTTTTAACGAAGACAAATGTCAATACTGCTCATATCACATTGTCCTGTTACTTATTATGGATGCATCAGGGTGAATACATTTCTAAGGTATGTTATATAAATGCTGAAGCAGGTGATAAGCTGCAAGGCTTATCAAGAAAAGCTAACTTTATTCAAAGATGTATTAAATGAATGCTGTAAATTCAGGGCCAGAAGACAAATAGCTATTTTCTCATTTGTAATTTCTGGGAACAATTATTCTCCTATTTAAAGAAAGTCCATCTCTTCTCCTACAAGAAATTCCACATCCCAAGGAAACAGGTTAATACTACATGTCTATTTCCAATTAACTCTTCTCAAAAATATATTTTCACTTCTCTGAAATGAATAAAATATAAATAAAAATAATATAAACATATCTACAAACATACTACCCATAATCACCAACAAGCCTATACAGATTTTGTGGGATCTAAATTTATAAAATTTGAAAGACCTTTGGTCTTAAAAAGAATACAAACATAGGAGTAAAAAATTAGGTGCAAAGTGAATATTTCTTTAAAATTATCAAAATAATCAAAATGAACTTCAAATTGTAAAGTGTTGCATAATATTGCTAATAAGAAAAAGGACACACTATTATTTTTCTTCTGATATACAAGCATACTTTGTATTAGTTTGTTCTCACACTGCTATAAAGAAATACCTGAGTCTGAGTAATTTACAGAAGAAAGAGGTTTAATTGACTCACAGCACTGCAGGGCTAGGGAGGCCTTAAGAAACTTACAATCATGGAGGAAGGGGAAGCAAACATATCCTTCTTCACATGGTGGCAGCAAGAAGTGCAGAGTGAAGTGGGGGAAAGCCCCTTATGAAACCATCAGATCTTGTCAGAACTCACTCACTGTCATGCAAATAGCATGGAGGTAACTACCTCCATGATTCAATTACCTCCCACAATGTCCCTCCCATGACATGTTGTGGTAACTACACAATTCAAGATGATATTCGGGTGGAGACACAGCCAAACCATATGATTCTCCCTCTAACCCCTCCCAAATATTATGTTCTCACATTTCAAAACACAATCATGCCTTTCCAACAGTCTCTCAAAGTCTGAACTCATTTCAGCATTAATTGAAAATATCAAGTCCAAGGTCTCATCTGAGACAAGGCAAGTGTCTTCTGCCCATGAGCCAGTAAAACTGAAAGCAAATTAGTTAATTCCTGGATACAATGAGGGTACAGGTATTGGGTAAATACATCCACTCCAAATTGGAGAAATTCACCAAAACAAAGGGGCTACAGGCCCCATACAAGTTCAAAATCTAATAGGGTAGTCATTAAATCTTAAAGTTCCAAAATGACCTCCTTTAACCCCATGTCTCACATCCAGGGCACACTGATGCAAGAGGTGGGCTTCCACAGCTTTCAGGAGCCCTGCCCTGTGGCTCTGCAGGATACAGCCAAGTCTCCTGGCTGCTTTCACAGGCTCACATTGAGTGTCTGTGGCTTTTCCAGGAACACAGTGCAAGTTGTCAGTGGATCTACCATTCTGGGGTCTGGAGGATGGTGGCCCTCTTCTCACAACTTCACTATGCAGTGTGCCAGTTGGGACCCTGTGTGGGTGCACCAACCCCACATTTCCCTTCTGTACTACCCTGGCAGAGGTTCTCCATGAGGGCTCTGCCCCTGCAACGAACTTCTGCTTGAACATCGCGCATTTCCATACATCTTCTGAAGTCTAGGTGGAGGTTCCCAAACCTAAATTCTTGTCTTCTGTGCAACTGCAGGACAAACACCATGTGGAAACTGCCAAGGCATGGAGCTTGCACCCTCTGAAGCAGTGGTATGAGTTGACCTTGGACCCTTTTACCCATGGATGGACCTGAAGCAACTGAGACACATGGCACCATGTCCTGAAGATGCACAGAGCAAGAGTTCCTGGGCCCAGTCCATGAAAGCATTTTTTTTCCTCCTAGGCCTCTAGGGCTGTGATAGGAGGGGCTGCAATGAAGGTCTCTGATATGTCCTGAAGACATTTTTTCCATGTTGTTGGTGAATAACATTCGACTCCTCATTGCTTATGCAAATTTCTTAAATTTCTCCTCAGAAAATGGGTTTTTCTTTTCTATCACATCATCAGACTGTAAATTTTCCAAGCTTTTATGCTCTGTTTCATCTTGAAGGCTTTGCAACTTAGAAATTTCTTCCACCACATACTCTAAGTAATCTGCCTCAAGTTCAAAGTTCCACAGATCTCTAGGGCAGGGGCAAAATGCTGCCAGTCTCTTTGCATAACAAGAGTGACTTTCACTTGATTTCACAACAAGTTTCTCATCTCCATCTGAGACCGTATCAGCCTGTACTTCATTGTCCATATGACTTTCAACATTTTGGACAAAGCCATTTAACAAGTCTCAAGAAAGTTCCAAACTGCCTCACATCTCTCTGTCTCCTGAGCCCTCCAAGTCTTTAGGAAGTTTTGAACTTTCCCACGTTGTTCTGTCTTCTTCTGAGCCCTCCAAACTGTTCCAACCTCTGCTTGTTACCCAGTTCTGAAGTAGCTTCCATATTTGGAGCTACTTTTAAAGCAGTACCCCACTCATGATACCAATTTTCTGTATTAGTCTGTTCTCAGGCTACTGTGAAGAAATACCTGAGAATGGGTAATTTATAAAGAAAAGAGCCTTAATTGACTCACAATCCTGCAGGGCTGGGAAGGCCTCAGGAAGCTTACAATCATGGCAGGAGAAGCAAACACTTCCTCCTTCACATGGCAGTAGCAAAGCAGAGCACAAAGTGAAGAGTGTGGGTGGAAGCCCTTTATACATAAGATCTCATAACTCACTCACTATTATGAGAATATCATAGAGATAACCACCCCCATGATTCAATTACCTCCCACCAGGTCTCTCTCACAACACATGGGGATCATAGGAACTACATTCAAGATGATATTTGGGTGAGGACACAGCCAAATCATATCATACTTCATTTTTCCACACCTTATTGCACATCACAAACATTGATTTTTTATAAAATAAAGTTTTGTGGCAACGTGCATCAAGCAAGTCTATTGACTCCATTTTTCCAAAAGCATGTGCTGACTTCATGTCTCTGTATCACATTTTTGTAATTTTCATAATATTTCAAAATTTTTCATTATTATTATACCTGTTATGATTATCTGTGATCAGTGATCATTGATGTTTCTATTATAATTGTTTTGAGGTACAATAAATGATGCTCATTAAGACTGTCAACTTAATTGACAAATATTATGTGTGTTCTGACTGCTCCACTGACCAATTTTCTCCCCATCCCCTTTCCTAAGTGCTGCCAAATCTGTCTGGCAGACTCTGGCTGAGTAACAGATGAAAGAAGTATGCTGACACAGGTATTTTGCCTGACAGCCTGTCTAGGGGACTGCACTGCTTAGCACCACCAATGAGAGTGCAGCACCACCAATGAGAATGCAGCAGCAGCAACAGCAGCAGCCCCCCTAAGCCAAAGATGATTGCATTTATTTAGTACAGATTTAATGACAAAGGCTTGGTGCAAACACAATTTGTGGGTAATTAACATTGCCGACCCCCCCAGTAGAGAGCAGTCCTGCAGCGAATGATCAAAGGTTGGTTTCTGGAGACATAAGTAAACAGATTTATCGAGATAAGTTCCTTTACATTCCCTTATTATCTACCCTTTGCTCTCAGTTTCTGGATAAGAGAATTAGCTGCCTTCAGCTTAATCCTCTCCTGAAGCTTTTTCAAAATCTTCCAGCCTTCCAAGAAAGTTTTCATCTTTCATATAATTTTTCCCACCACCCTGACCAATCTCCTTCATCTCCCTCTTTTCTGTTTTTTGTTTGTTTGTTTTGCATCAGGTTTTGTTGATTGAAGAGTACAGATGTGTGCAGCAACAGGTTTGTCAAGCACAGTGATTATAACTTGTATTCTGGCTTTGCAACATAGAATTACTAAATAACATAAGACAAACATGAGTATAATCAGCAATATTCTTTTCCAATCAAGAAGTGACCCCCAGGAGCGGGGGTCTATCCAAGAGAGATGTTCTCTCACATCCTTCCATATGGCTGTTTGTTGGGTGTATAGACTATGGCATTTAGGGATTCTAGAATTTTAGTCTTAAGTTGCCTTACATCTGCTGTTAAATTATCCTGTAAGGTTCCCCAGAGGTGTTGTTTCACCTTATCCCAACTACGTATTGATTGATTCCAAGGTTGAGAGGTGACACAGATATGCTTATGCTTCCAGTCACAGTTTAATTACTGTTTGAATGCCAGTGCATCTTGCCGCTCCCCTACATATTCCAAGGCAGGCTTGAGGGCTTGCAGGCATGTAAGAATCTTTTGATCTGTATCCTGCTGTAAGAGAAGCTTGTTAGACACATTTCTGGCCAAGCTATCTACAAAGGTAGCTGTTTGTGCTGATTCAGTAAAAGAGGCCACAGCAACACTACCAGTTGCCAAGATGACTATGGCTGAGACTATAAAGGCTATAAGTGTGCCTATGAATCTTTTGTGTCTGACCTGGGACAGGGCACGTTCTAAGGTGGCAAGAGCAGAGGAACCTTGCCAGTTGCGTGTTAAATTGACTGGTAGGAATGCCTCAGATTGTCTCCTTAATACCATGACACTAGTAATATTTAAATTAGATATATTGTAATTAGTGATACATGAGGCAAACCAAGCCTCTCCTTGCACTCAGGTCACAAGTGTGGAGTTTCGGGGTGTAATGGAAATATTGGTTCCCATAAGGAAAACATATGAATGGGTAGTGCAAATCAGGCATTGATCTGTGTGATTATGAATAACGGTCATAGTATAGTTGTTACTGGAATTATGATATGTCCCATGCCAGGTATTAAGGGAGGTGCTAAGATGTCCCAGGTGCCGTAAAGTGTTTTAGGGTGGCATGGACTCTATTTGGGGTCTGGGATGTCCCATCCCCCCATTGGCCCAAATCATAAGGGAATGGGATGTGGCTATGAAATTGTGATCAAAGCCACGATGGATGCAGACATCAGTATGGTCGCCCTGCAAATGGCAGTGGGAGTCTAAGATGTTATAATTGCCTAACTGGAGGCTATGGGCTTCTCCCCTGTGGTAGACCTCTCAGCCATAGTGGAATTCATTACTTTTCTGGCTACATCCTTTTGCACAAGAAGGAATGTTGGAGAAAGTGGCATTAGTTGCATTGCCCAGTTTGAGGCTACCTTCAACAAAGAATGTTAAGACATTTCCTTTGCCCTTATGTAGCCATAATTGTGTTTGGGCAGGTATACAGTAAGGGTTAGAACTTTTATAACTTACACACAGTGGGAGGATAGTGGAGTGATATGTAGTTTTACCTGGCACCTTAGTCCAATGCATGTCATTAATGAGGGACCCCATTGAGAGTAAGTCAATCCCTCCTAGCCAAGCAGTTATATTATTAGAGGCTGGGAAGGGGGTGTCCGCCCAGGTAACAGAGTGGAAGAAGGGTGGATCTAAGAGATGAGGCCAATAGAATGTAGCAGGTACGGGTTGCAGACAAAATGAGAGCATAAAAAGGATCAATACCGTATGCAAATTGCAATGTACAACAGAGAGCATAGCAAGGAACAAATTATGTGGAGTGAATGGTGAATGGTGTCTGTATCCAGTGCAGGATTCACTCAGCCTCCTGAGTTGTCTTTGTCAGCATCCCCCAGGTGATGTTCGGGGCTTGTGTCATCTGAGGAAGCCACATTGTCTGGGACTGTGGGTCTTGCAGGGTCATTTCCTTCATTTCTAGTACCAGGTTGGGTCCTAGCCATGCCATGGTATGGTTTAATGCATCGTGCTGGAATCCAAGGAGGGCCTGAGGGGGTGTGAACATAAGCATATCCTCTTTCCCATGTTAGCAAATCATTTGGACAATGCCATACATTAACATTTACATCCTTCCATAAAACTGCAGGTTTTATGTCTTAAGAGGTTTTAGAAAGTGTTTTTCTATAGCTGATTGAAATTTATGATGTAAATTTTAAAAATTAAGGTAAATAAGGCTTGTGCTAATAGTGTTGCAGGGTCCTTACTCATATTCCCCCTTTTTTGTTTTCTGAGCATATTTTTAAGAGTAGAATGAACACGTTCTACTGTGGCCTGTCCTTGGGGGATATATGGGATGCCTGTAGAATGTTGGATGTTCCACATGTGACAAAATTGTTGAAACTGTGAGCTGATGTAAGCCAGACCATTATCAGTTTTAATTTTTGTGGGCTGCCCCATAAATTCAAAAGTTGAGAGAAGATGTTTAATAACATATCAGGTGGACTCTCCAGGAAGAGCATAAGCACTAATTAAGTGAGAATTGGTATCAACAGATACATGTACATATCTAAGTTTTCCAAATTCAGGGACATGAGTAACATCTGTTTGCCATAACTGATTAAGTTCTAGTCCTCTAGGGTTAATACCTGTTGAAGGAGGGGACATACCTATGAGCTGGCAATCTGGGCATTGCAGGATAATATGTTTAGCTAGTCTTTGGGTTAACTGAAAAGGTTTAGTTAAGTTTCTCCAATTTTGGTGGAAAAATTGATGTGATTGAGTGGGTGGGTCAAGCACTGATGTCATAACTTGCAAGTCGGCTTGATTATTGCCAAAAGCCAGTGGACCAGGCAGTGAGCTGTGGGCTCGAATATGTGTGATAAAAATAAGATGTGTAGATCTAGCAGTTGCTGAAGTAGAAGAAAAAGTGCACACAGGGTGGGCTCAAGAGTAGACTTAATGAGGGCTGTCTCAAGGTTCTGTAATAAATAAACAGAGTAAGCAGAGTCACTAACAATATTGATAGGCTGAGTGGAAAAGGTCTCCAAGGCCAATATTAAGGCTCCAACCTCAGCTCTTTGAGTGCTAGTAAATCCAGAAGGAGTAAGAGCCAATCTTGAGGAATCACTGTGGGGAATTGTTGAAGGGGCCCCATAGGTTGCAAATTAGCATTAATAGCTTGTAAGTCATGAAAAAGTCTCCCTTTGCCAGACCTTTTGGGAATGACGAAAATGGGTGAATTCCAAGGGCTGTTTGATGGTTCTATATGGCTGGCTTTTGGTTGCTCCTCAACTAATTCATAGGCTCTTTGTAATTTCTCTCCCTTTAAAGGCCACTGCTTTACCCAAATTGGATCTTGAGAGAGCCACATTAAGGGTATGGGCGGAATAATAACAGTGGCCATTATTAGAAAGGGGTCTACAGAGTGATCCCCCATTGGGCTAATAGGTCCTGTCCCCAAATATTAATGGGCATAGGCACAATTAGAGGTTGTATAACTGCTTTTCTTCCCTCCGAATCCCAACATGTTAGGGGATGCGTGCTTTGCTTGGCTGTGTGCACTTCCCTCATGCCGATAATTTTTTGCTTCTGAGTGACCCGAGGCCAAGTTTCTGGCCAGTCTTGATCACTAATGATTGAAATATCCACCTCTGTGTCCAATAAGCAATTTTATTTCCAATTTTTAAGGTAATCATGTGTCTTTGATCTGTGATTAATTGGTTCCAGTATGCTCCTGTGGCTCCCGTGCTTCCAAAACTTCCCTTTCCCGTTTCCTTTCCCTGGGCATTGGGGACCCAGTATGGTAAAAGTAGCAACTAAACTATCTTTGATCCAGGTAGAAGAATATGCAGACTTTTACATTTCATCATAAATAATATCTCACTATTAATTACCCCTGTGATCACACTGATTCCTTTACTGGATAGGCTTGATTGCACTAGGACTAATCCCACTGTTCCCAGAGGCAGTGGGCCCCAGATCCCGGTTGCAACCTTTTTAGGGTCTTCTTCTTTAAGGACTAATTTTTTGGAGCAGAGTAAGTCCAGTCATGCACTCCCAGAGGTGGCCGCTCTGAGAGAGAGGACTGTGAACTTTCCATCTGACTGAGAAAACCCACTGGCATTGCCCTAGTTTGGAGCGGGGCCTGGGGCCAGCCCCTCATGAAGTTTCCCACCTGATTACTTAGGGGGTTGCCGTTTTTATCAAATTTGGACAGTCATTGATTTGCCAAATGTTTCCCCTTTTTACAGCAGGGGCATATAGAATGGGGTTCTTTTCCCACGTTACCTTGGTCTCTACTATTGGGGCACTCCCTCTTCGTATGACCTGACTCTGCATAGGAAACAATTTGGGTTTCTCTCCCTTTTCACCTTAGGAGGCTTTAATGCCATAGCCAATATTTTGGCTTTGTGTGTTTCAGTCCCCACCAGTTGACATGCTCATGTAAGTCCCCAGACTGGGGCTGCCTTTCCTCTGATTGCCTGCATTGCTTGCTGGCAGTCAATGTTAGTGTTTTCATAAGCCAATTGCAACAATAAGATATCAGCGGCCTGGGTATGACTAATTTGTCTCTTAATTCCCTGGGCTAACCAATTGATAAATTCAACAAATGGCTCCTGAGGCCCTTGCTGAACATTTATAAAAGATCTCTGTTGAACTTCACTTTTGAGAATTTGGTCCCAAGCCCTGAGAGTGCACAAAGACACTTGTGCATAGGTTTGGGAAGCCAAACTTAATTGTTGTTGTACACTGGCATAGGGACCCCTCCCCTGGAGCATAGCAGCTGTTACGTCTCGCCCGGCCACTTGATTCTGGTTGGCTTGTTCACACAACTCATTATATTCTGCCTTCCAGAGGAGATATTGGCTGGGCTGTAAGGTTGTTTTAGCTAGCACTGACCAGTCCCATGTGGGTATATGGAAGTTGTTTGCTATGGCTTCAATTAATCCTTTTGTAAATGGGCTAGTGGCTCCCTTTTCTCTAATTCTTCTTCATATCTCTTTATAAGCATCAAAAGAAATAGGTTCATACACCTGATTGACTTGTTGATCTTGTATTACCAGGCAGGCCAAGAGCTCCCTTTCTAATGCCACTTGCCTAAGACAGGGTCCCATAGCTGTAGCATATCTCTTCTCTTTTTTCCAATTTATTGCAGGAGGGGGCTCAGGCAAAACCTCTGTTTCCTCTTTGGTATTTTTGCCAGAGAATGGTGGGACTGAGGTAAAGAAGGTGACGGTTCCTCCTCCCTTCCCTTTTTAGGCTCTTCTGTGTAGAGTGGGACCAAAGCAGCCCTAACTAAGGCCCATAACATTAGAGATGTTATTGGGACCTGTTGCCCTTGTGTATGATGTTCTTTAAGATTTCTCCCCACTTGTTCCCAGAGCTCCACATCTAGCAAGCCTTATTCTGAGAACCATGGGTTATGGGAAACAATAGTCTGCATTAAGCCCCTTAATTGAGCCTGCGAGACGAAGGCTCCACTAGCTTTAAGCAGCTGTTTCAGTACTTTTATATACTGTTGCTGTTGAGCTGATAACTGTTGTCCCATGATGTAACCCTAGCCTGAACAAGTCGCTCAAACTTGGAAATCCCCTGCAGGCACCAATGACTTACTGACTGTGCAGTCTCTTCACCTTCATTTTTGAGAGTTCTATTGCAATCCGTTGCAGCATTCCTCACACAGGGCACCACCTGCCTCTAAGTCTGTCCTGCAGACTCTGGCTGAGGGGTGGATGAAAGAAGTATGCCGACACAGGTATTTTGCCTGACAGCCCAGGTAGGGGACCGCACTGCTTAGCACCGCCAATGACAGTGCAGCAGCAGCAGCTACCCCCATAAGTACAGATTATTTAGTACAGATTTAATGACAAAGGCTTGGAGCAAACACAATTTGTAGGTAATTAACATTGTCGACCCCCTAGTAGAGAGCAGTCCTGCAGTGAATGATCAAAGGTTGGTTTCTAGAGACAAAAGTAAACAAATGTAGATAAGTTTCTTTACATTCTCTTGTTATCTATCCTTTGCTCTCAGTCTCTAGATAAGACAATCAGCTGCCTTCAGCTTAATCCTCTCCCAAAGCTTTTGCAAAGCCTCTCGGCTTTCCAAGCATCTTTCCTATAATTTTTCCCACCACCCTGACCAATCTCCTACAATTAAGGCCTCTCTATTACCTGAGACACCATACTGAAATTAGGTTAATTAATAATCCTAAAACGACCTCTAAGTGCTCAAGTAAAAGGAAGAGTCAGGAGTCATACATCTCTCGCTTTAAATCAAAAGCCAGAAATGATTATGTTTTGTGAAGAATACATGTCAAAAGCCAAGACAGCAGAAGCTAGGCCCCTTGTGACAAACAGCCATATTTTAAATACAAAGGGAAAGGTTTTTTTTCAAAATATTACCTCTCATTTACAATGCACCTGGTCACCTAATGGCTCTCATGAAGATGTACAATAAGATTAATATTTTCATGCCTGCTAGCATGACATCCATTCTGCAAATCATGGATCAAGGAGTAATTCTGACTTTCATGTCTTATTAAAAAAAAGAAAAAAAAACCTTTTGTATAGTTGCCATAAAGAGTGATTCCTCTGATGAATCTTGGCAAAGTAAATTGAAAATCTCTGGAAAGAATTCCCACTCTAGAAGCCATTAAGAAGATGTGTGACTCATGGGAGGAGATCAACATAAAAACATTCACAGGAATTTGGAAGAAGTTGATTTCAACTCTCATGGAATGACTTTGAGGAGTTAAGACTTCAGTGGAGGAAGTAACTACAGATGTGGTGGAAACAACAAGAGAACTGAAGATAATAATAATGTCATATAAAGTGTTATGACAAATGTCATATCTTCACTTCCGTGTAATGCATGTTTATATCACTTGAGCTATGTAATTAAGCTGAAGTTATCTTGTCTTATCTTTTAATTTTTAACATGCATGTTTTAATTTATATTTTATGTAGTATTTTATTGTTTATATATATCAGCAATATCTTCTCATTTCCTTTTTAATTTTCAGTACCATTTGTATAATTTTTAAACTTCAAGTACCACTTGTATATAATCAAATGTACAAGTATACATTTGAACCATTTGTATGATCATGGAATTTGTTACTTATATACTTCTGATGTGGTTAAAAGACAAATTATTTAATCTATAATTTTTATAATATATCTTATTTGAAACCTTTTCCTATCCTATGGTTATAATTATATTCTCTATTTTCATTAATATATTAATTATACTATTTCTAAGGCTATAATGATGGTCTATATTTTCTTCAGAATATGATATATTTAGTTTTGTATTAGGACCTGATTTATTTAATTGGCATGAGCTGAAGTTCACATTTTCCCATGGATATTCCACCGTCACATAATATAGTCAATTACCCATTGATTTGCAATGTTATCTCTATAATACATCATGAATCCAAGTAAATGTATGTATCATTTTCTTTTATATCTACTTGATTCTATTCATAGTTTTATATACTATTGCAAAAATAAAAATCTCTCACAAAATACACCTTTATAATAAGCTTTGCTATTTGATGAGATGTTCCTGTCTTTCAAAATCATCTTGAATATTATAAACCCATTACCCTAGAAAAGATCTGTGTTTGTTTTTAAGAGAATAAGGGAATACAAATCTGTGAACCCTTTTTTTAATCATTGCAGTTTTTAACTACACATTCAAATCTGTAAATTCAAATACAATACTCAAACATTCTTAGGTCTATAGTTCAATTGTTCAAAGAAGATGATAATTATGGTTTTTTTTTTCTAATGTTGGCATGGAGTTGGATATTTTTCTTTTGCAATCATTATTTCCATAAGTAGGATCTTTCCCCCTAGTTTAATTGAGAGTGCAATTCATTTGAATGTTTTAATTTTAGTTAGGTGTTTCCAGTTCTGCTTTCCACTAAGTTGCTTGGGTAAACATTTCCCTCTGATGCCAGCTATTTTTTTATTTTTATAATTTCTACTTCTCTGCTGATCAATAGACCCTCATTTTAGAGGTGTCCACCCTATACCCAGATGAAAGGACTGTTCTTATCTTTCTTATCTCTTAAGGCACAAAAAATAATCTGAACATATAGACCTTGCTAAGCTCTTCCCAGTTTATTAGATCATGCCCCTTTGTCCAATCATACTGTTCCACACATATTACATCAACAAACATAGCATAAATATCAACAGGTTTCCCTGTTTCTTTGGGTCTTGACTTCTGAAAGTTCCTATGCTGTGTAAAACCCAAATTTTTACACTTTTCTTTTGTAAATTTGTCTTTTGTTTTAGGGAACTCAGCCATGAACTCAGAGATGGGAAAGAAAGATATTTATTTTCAACCCCTACAGAAGCAAAAGTCTACTGCCATCAAACCTAACACTGGAATTGATATGATTCCAATGCAGCCCTGGCTTTGATGTAATGCTTCCTTTTGTCGTTGTTGTTATTATTGTGTTGTTTGCTTGCTTATTTTGGTCTTGTTGGTTTTATAATTTTTGCAAACATATCAATGACACAAAATATATATTTTATAATGTTTCACATATCTAGGTAAATTTCATCAGTAGATTTCACAAATTTTTTATGTTATTGTAGTAGACAAGAGAAGGCATTGTTTAATTAGCCTGAATATGCTTTTTATAAGATATATCTAATTTAGTGACATCCCTATTTCCTATGAGCTTATTTTTAGTGCAGGAATACAAGGGGAAAAAAGTTTCCATGGGAGTACAGGAAAATAAAGGCTTGGTTCTTACTATGTTTCATTAAAATAATAAAGATATTTGGTCGTTTGAGGAGAGAGAGTTCAATTTTCAGTTCCTTTGTTGAGGGAAATTAGTTATATTTTCCAATGCAAATCTGCCCAGGGATGAAGGGAAAATACTTAAATTTTAAAAAGCAAAGTTTTTAAATGGATTTTATTAAAATATTAAACTTGATATTACAAAGTAATATCACTTTATACAAAGTAATATGTATGTACTTTTAAGTTTAAGTGCAAAATAAAAATATTTTTTTCAAAATTGGCTTGTAAGTTATATTTTAAAAGCACACAGATCAATGATGCACCTGAAATTTTGCTCATCTTCGTGAAGATTCACATGTGTTTACATGGAAATATTTTCAGGCAATCTGAAGAGTTTTAAATAGCAACCACAAGAAAATGGAAATGAATAACTTCATTTTCTTAATGAACTCACAAGTTAGTGGAAATCAAAAAAGCATATACAACTTACTCTGACCCATCATAGTACATGGCATAAGGGCACAGCATTAATGCCATGAACATTAGATGACAAAAGCAATGATTCGTCTAGAAAATGTAAAATGCTTAACAGAAAATATAACATTTGAACTAAGACTTAAATGAAAAGTTAAAGGAAAGGAAGACTATAACAGCCAACAATTTAAAGTAATAGGAAACAGTTACTGGTACTTATTCTTTATCAAATAACATTTTAAGTGCCTCATATTCCCTGAGTGGTTTTATTCTGGCAATATAAAAAGTTAGACTTAATCTAACCTAAAAAATTGGTTTTAATCTTAACCCTTTAAACATCTGTGATAGTTACTTTTACGTGTCAAATTAACTGGATCTCAGAATGCTCAGATAACTCATTAACTTTTTTTCTTGGTATGTCTGTAAGGGTATTTTCAGAAAAGATTAGCATTTGAATTGGCGACTGAGTACAGTGGATTGCCTTCCTCAATATGAGTGGCAGCAGTCAACCCATTGAGGACGTGACTAGAACCAGAAAGTGGAGAAAGGGAGGACTCCACCCCTCTCTGCCTAACTGGTAAGCTGGGAAACTGAATTTCCCTGGCCCTCAATGCTCTTGGTTCTCAGGCCATCAGATCTGGACTGGAACATACACCATCAGCAATCTGGCTTCCAGGCCTTCACCCTACACCACCGGTTTTCCTGGGTCTCCAGCTTTCTGATGGCAGATTTTGAGACTTCTTGGCTTCCATAATCTCAGGAGGCAACACTTCATAATAAATCAGTTTTATATACATATATAAAATCTCCAATTTGTTCTATTACTTTGGTGAACCCTGACTGATAAAACATCTGAAGAAACTAAGCCATAGAGAGGTTACGTAACGTTTTCAACAGCACATATGAAATTTTTAGCAGAGTTTGTATTCAAACTCAAGCAATCTCTGTCTACCATCTGAGTAATTGACCTCTATGTTATGCTAACAGGTTTAAGCATGACAAACATTTTTACAAGCTGAAAAATGGGAGTAAGCACTCCACCCAGAAGAAACAGCATGACAGCATGAGCAAGAGCACCAGACAATTAGAGCACAGATATTCTAGTAAGGCTAGTGAACTGGACCCATGGTAGCTAGGAAGTCATATTATACATTATCCTACACTGCTCACAGAAAGAATGAGCTAATTATGTTGATGTGACCCCTTTATTTTGCCGTAATTAGTCAGATGGTATTCATCCCAACCTCAACCAGTTGCCTTGAGCAATGTTTTATCATCATAGTCATGAGCAGGACTTTACTAGTATTACTTTCTATATGAACAGAAATAACCCAGTCTAGAAAAGTATTTACTTAGCCTTTCCCATTTGTGAGAATGAAAGAAGTTGGGATCGATACTATAGTGATAAGATTAGAATAGTTAATGTGAACTTTCTATTAATATAGGGAAATAGAATCTCCAGGGACAAGATGGAATCTGTGGCATAATTTTTATAAGTGAAGAAAACTTACAATTAAAATACACATACATACTATATAAAATAATTCTCTTTCAAACTAATATGGTGCTACTTTTTCCTTATATAGTAAAAAGACATCAAAACAATTATAAATCATATCTATAGTAACCAATGTGTGTTCACACTCTATGCTTAACAGATTTTTATAAAAACAGATCAAGAAGACAGGATTATAGAAACTCAGTAGTGTTCATGGTTTCAGAGTAGAGCTAATGATTTCAGAATCAAGTGGATAAGCCTGAAAAGCCACAGATTCTTGAAAAATACAATGGCAATGAGATATTGATTAAATAATATGAATCTGCCTGAAAACTGAATTTCAAAATGTGAGATAATAAAATATTGGTGTTTCAATAAATCTTCAGATGTTCTCTATTCTCCAATATGTGGCTTCTTCAGATCATAATAATAATTTTTAAAGTAAGATATATATTGCATAATAATTGGACAGCTTCAAAGAATAACTTAAATCCGGTAAATATTGAAATATCCCTAAAAATGAAAAACTCATGCTTCTTTTATTGTTTCCTAGGGGAAATTTGAAGATATTTGGCATTCACCAAATTTAATACAAAATATTATATTAAAGTATTCATTATATCCTTATTTAAAAGTTATGTAAAAATTTATATGCAGGAATAAAAATATGAAATCATTTTTATCTTCAAGCATGTCTGAATTTAATGAAAGTGATAGACATATATTTGCAATTTAAAATGAATGCTAATACAAGATTAAAAGGGATATACATAAATACAATTTAAGTCAATAATCCTAACTTAACTGAAAATAGGCTAAATAAATCTTCAGAGAAACTTTTTTTATTGTTGTTTTGTTTTTTATGTATTTAGCCATGAATTAATAACTCAAAAGTTTATATTACCTATTTTCCTTGAATAGAATTTAGTTATGTGCCCTTAAACTTAATGATAAGTATCACCTTATATTTGTTCACTACTTTATAATGAGTTTAATACAAATGATTTCTTTGGAGTCTTACAATAGCCAGGATATGAGGCAGGCAAAGAATTATTAGTGCAATTACACAACAAGAGAAATCATGGCTCAGAGAAAATGATACCTTGCAAAATGTGGAGTAATTAAAATGAGTACATGGGTTTTCTGATTCTTAAACTAATGATTTTTCTCCTCACATTGTATCTTCTTCTGGGTATAGCTTGGCAAATTGAATCATCTATGGAACATGAGGAGTCTATTGTTTTTCATGCACCTCTAAAAACTGCAAAACTAGGAAAAAAGACTATAAAAGTTCAGTAAAATTACCCTAAATCACTATTGCACCTGCTTCAGAGGTATATATTGCATGAAGGCTTAAATTCATTTCAGGGGTGTCTCACTTCTCATTGTAAAGTCCTTCAGGCTAAAATAAAAAGAAAATTATAAAGATTCATTAATGTCAGAAGATTATCTGATATAGTCTCTAATGAGGCTCAGCAAAGTCTCACAGTGTCCTTAACAAATTAAGACAAAGAAATATTTAGTTCACGGAAAGGAGAATATGCCTAACACCTTCCAGTTATGTATATTCACATGTCCATTAGAAACACTTACATTTTTTCCAACTCATGGAGAACCCTACTCAACATCCATCACCTTCTTTACATATTTATTCCTCTTAGAACTTATCATCATCTTTGAACATATTGCATATTTCATCTGTTTATGATCTATTATCCTTATCTGAATATAAGCTCTCCAAAGGCAGGGCTTTTGTCTATTTTTTCCTTGTTGCATTTCCTGACTATAAAACAGTGCTTTCATGTGGGATTTTGTAAATATTTATGGAATAAATAAATCATTCATCAATTTTTAAAAGTCTCATTCAATAGCACATTTTAAAAAATAATTTATTACTTTATTAAAAAATAATGATTTCCTACTGTGTTTCTGGCACAGTACTGTATGTGATGAGCCATGCCCATGTTCAGGGAGTTTATAGTCTTGTGGGAAAAAGACTATAGTTGAACCAATTATACTTGTAACCGTCAATGACAATAGAACAGATGGCACACTTTATTTCTCATGGGAGCATCAAGAAATCTTTACACGGGAAGCAAAACGCATGCAGAGACTTCAAGGATTATTAATGTTAAACGGTTGAAAAATAGGAGATTTGAGTTCAGGAGTAGGATATAACATGTGTGAAGGTGTTGAAGCAGAAATAAGCTAGGTATGATTAAGAATAAAGTAATTTTAACTGAATATCCACAGGCAAAACACTGAAAGTGTACCTCATCTCATACACAAAAGTCAACTCAAAATGGATTAAAGACTTAAGCATAAGACATGAAACTCCAAAACCACTAGCCAAAAACATAAGGAGAAACCTACTTGACACTGGTTTACGCAATGATTTTTTGGATAATACCTCAAAGGCACAGGCAACAAAAGCAAAAATAGACAAATATGATTCTAACAAACTAACAAGCTTCTCTACAGCAAAGGAGAAAATCAACAGAGTAAAGAGGCAACCCGAGGAATGGCAGAAAATATTTGTAAACCATATGTCTAATGAGGAGTTACTCCAAAATATATAAGAAAATCAAACAATTCAACAGGAAAAAAAATACGTAATCTCAGGAAAACAAGGGCGAAGGACCTGAATAGACATTTCCCAAAAGAAAACATACAAAAGGCCAACAGGTATATGAAGAGGTGCTCAATATCATCAGTCATCAGGGAAATGCATATTAAAATCACAAGGTGATATAATTTCACATTCATAATAATAGCTGACAGAAGATAAGTGTTGGCACAGATGTGGAGAGATCCTATGTACACTGTCAGTGGGAGTGTAAAGTAGTACAGCCACTATAGAAATCAGTATGGAGGTTCCTCAGAAAATTACCATATAATGCAGCAATCCCACTACTGTGTATATATTCAAAGTAAATGAAATCAGTATGTTGAGGAGATAGCTGCACTCTCACGTTCATTTCAGCATTATTCACAATAAACAAGATATGGAACAACCTAAATGCTCATCAACAAATGAATAAACAAAAAATAATGTGCTATATATACACAATAGAATACTACTGAGATTTTAAAAAGAAGGAAATCTTATTTCCAACAACATGGATGAGTCTGGAGGATATTATGTTAAGGAGATAAGCTAGGCATAGGAATACAAATACTGCATGATCTCTTATATGTGGAATCTAAAGATAATGGAAATCATAGAACCAGAAAGTACATTGGTGGTTGTACTCAAGGCGGCAGTGAGACGGGGTTGGTAAGTGGAGAGATGTTGGCTAAAGGGCACAAAGTTTCAATTAGACAAGAGAAATAAATTCTGGAAATCTATTGTACAGCATGGTGACTATAATAATGATAATGTAAATGTAAAAATTGCTGAGTAGATTTTAAATAATCTCATCACAAAAAATAAGCATGTGAGGTGATGGATATGTTAATTAGCTGGATTTGACCATTTCACAATGTATACATGTATCAAAACTTCATGTACACCATAAATATGTTTGATTTTGTATTTTTCAATTAAGGAAAAAATAATAAAATATTTTTTGTGTGACTCTAACCTAGTGATGGAGGAAAACATACAAGGAAATATGGTTTGACCTGGAAACTGCCATGTATACCTTTGCATATAATAATGAGTATTTTTATCTTTTATTAGTACAACAGAAAATAATGGGAGGGCTTTAAGGAAGAGATGTGATTGTGATCAGATTTATACTTTACAAGATCATTCTTTGTAGTGAAGAGGATATGAATAATGGATTAGTATAAGGCAAAATTAGATGCAGAGATTTTTTATAAGGTATATTTTAGTAATCCAAGTAAATAAATGATAATGGCATAGTTATGTTGCTTACAGCTGGAAGAAGATTGAGCACATTAATTCATTCATTCACTCACTCATTTATTCAAAAAGTTGGTTTTGGAGTGGTTACTGCTTTTCATGTACTATAGACACTAGGCAATCAGAGCTAAACAAAACCCTCATGGACTTAAGTTTACTAGGAAAATCAAATATTTTAAAACACTGGTTAATTAAGAGATTATGTCACTAGGGATCTGCTTTAGATTGGGCTGTGAAAGTTGGCTTCTCAGAGAAAGTGACATTTTACTCGCCATCTGAAAATCAAGATGACTCAATCCAAGCAAACGACAGGGAACAGAGATTACCAGGTAAAGTGAAAAGGTGCAGAGAATATATTTGGATAAAAACATAGTGAGTTGAAACAGTCCAATCTTATGGCTCCAATGTCAGGTTAGGAAGCATAAATTTCAATGCAGACATGATTAGAAGCCATTCACAATTTAAGTTGTGTAATATGTATGTGAAATATATACTTAATATATAAGTAAAATATATACAAATATAACTAAAATCATCCTGTTTCTTTTTAGGTCATGGGGATTACTCACATGAAAGTGTTTTACAGTTGAGAAAGAGTGGACACAGCTTTGTTTTTTCCATGCTGCTCATGGATTGGGCTAATTATAAGAATTTATTAATTTTCATCTAGTTCAATTTATAACATTTCTTTGTGATTTTTTTTCTGTTTTTAAGCTAGTATTGTATGTATATATGTAGTTACATCACATCTTGTACAAACCCACTAAAAAGGGAACAAAAATAATGCTTCTAGTACTATAATCTTGGTAACAAGGTTAATGACCTCATATGGTAGCTATAAGAAAGTAGGGAAAATACCAAGTCCTTCTCCTCCTCTTAAGAAGCATGTCCCAAGCATATGCTACCTGGGCTTTTTCAGCCTTTCTCAGTTTCTAGAAAGTGAGTGGGCAGCCCAGCTACTTTTGTCTCTTTCTGCCTACAGGAATTTCTTGCTTTGGTATGCTTGTGCCTACAGCAAGGATGCATCCAATAACATGCTTCTCATTATGGGTAGGCTTAGTGGGGTAGTATTTAACTTCTAAAGGGTAGGCAGGCTTCTCTGGAAAAAGTATGTTCAAGGTATTTGGGAGGTTGCTTATATTTACGAGTCTATTTTGCCACTTCTACATTACATTCTCCAAATTTCTTTCTTAGTAATATTGCTGATATTTTACTCATCATCTCTCTAAATCTTTTATTTGGTTCAAAACTCGTATGGAGAAATTTTATGTAGTTTTACTTATGTTTTCCAATCTCAAAGTGTGATCTTCTGCTAACATATGAAAGGCAAAGCAATGATGCAAAAAAAAAATTGTGTTGATACTGCAAGTTGTGAATACTGTCAAGTTTATGATATGTAATTAACAGTAACTATTACTACATCAGTTATAAACGGATAAAGTTGTGTTTGGATTAACCAAATGCTCCAAAATATACAAGCAGCATAAAGGATAATGTTTTGGAATAGATAAGATTTTTAAGGCCCACAACCACCACCAAATATGAAAACAAAACAAAATTATGACAGAAAAAGAAGCTCTTCTGAGAACATTATATGGAATCGAGGAAAGACTAAGCATAAGATATGAGTCATCTATTCCCAACTTTACATAATAGGGTTTTATATTTACTATATTTAGACATTCATTCTTGTAATGATGTTAATTGAAAGTTTTTATCTAATTCTTTTAATATGTGGATTAAAGATGGCATTTTGTTTTGTCATAAAATATTACTTTTTCAAAAAAAAAATGACACTTATGTACCTTAAAATAAATTATCTTCCATAAAATACCAACCATATTATTCCTAGTACTACTTCTTTAGTAACCTTTAATAATTGTCAATCACCTTATTGTCAGGTATTGGGCTAAATGCTTTACATATATTATCTCATCTATCCCACACAATTCAAGTTGCTATTACCTTAGTCTTCATTTTATAAATGAGAAGGCTTATATGTAATAAGGTTAAATAGCCTTCTCAATATCATAGATTCCATATGAGATTATACCTCAATTTCAACATAAGTAAAATAATCTGAGCCCATGAGCCTAATTATCATCCTATCTACTACACCCAAAACTATAGATCTTTTTGTATAAATAATACTAATATCAACTTTATAGCATTTTTAAAAATATCTGTATGACCAAAAAGAAAATAGATGTAAATAATGTCTTGAGTTTTCAAGTTAATAAATTTACTAAAATACTCTTAAAAGTAGAATAATACAAATATTTTATTGTCAAAACTATTTTTACATTTTACAATTATTAAAGGAGATAAACTGTTTTACTG
The DNA here is from genome assembly GCF_000001405.40 of Homo sapiens. Taxonomy (NCBI): domain Eukaryota; kingdom Metazoa; phylum Chordata; class Mammalia; order Primates; family Hominidae; genus Homo; species Homo sapiens. The sequence goes on from NC_000004.12 coordinate 134,007,901, forward strand.
AAACTTTTACTATGTCATATTTTAAAAGAGAAATAGTAAATCTCAGAAACTTTGACAGCAATAATCATAATCTAAGATGTGTAAACTATAATGAAATCTGTTATTCAATTATAATCCTGATAAACATCCTCAAGTGATAGTGGAAAGTTATAGATTTCTAGGAGATCATCTAGTTTGCTATGTTGCTCTCCACTCTTAAGTTAAATACAGCTTTCATGAACTTGATGAAGGAGTATTAAATGGTTATTTTGTTTCAAATAAAATCTTGGTACTTTAGAAAAACTTTTAACATTTTTTAAACTGCATATACAGTGGCATAAACCATGTTTTCGAGAAAAATTTTGAAAATTTGTTGGCCAATCAATTATTTGACTTTTTCAAAGCACAATATATTTGGCAGCTTCCTGAACCATTCCATGCTTTGACTTAGCCAGTGTGAATGGATTATAGATGTCTTGCCACAACTTTGTCCTCTAATGTGGAAAATTTGATTGTTGTTTTACTAGTAGACTTACCTAATGCACACAATGTGTCCAAAGTGAGCCTATAAGAAAGTATTAAAAAAAAACCTAAATAACTCAGAAGGTAAAACATGAAAACAACAGCTTGTTTTCATCAAGTCATAAAAATTAAATTATAGAAAGGGGTGAAACTATTTATCCAAACCCTGAACAGAGGAATACAGTTCAAAATAACAATAATGTAGAAATAGATCAAATTTAGCATACATAAATACGGAGATATAGTGAGATGAATATATTTTGACAGTGGGAATTGGTACTTAGGAAAATTACTTGGAAGTATGTAGCAAGAATTTCTAAAATGTGTTGTTTTCTTTTTTTCTTTTTGAACCAGTAATTTCAATTCCTGAAGACATAATATGTAGGATGGTTGAGGAAATATCTCAGTATCTTGACAAAGGTGCTCTTACCAATGTTACATATAAAGTGAAATATTGTAAATAACCTATTGAGGTTCAACAATAAAAGAGAACATAAAATAAAAGGTGAGCATTTGAGTAACACTTGTAAATACTTAGAAGTTGTGCTGCTATAATGTGAAATGGTAAACATAGAGATATAAAATTTTATATGTACCAACTTTTTAAAAATGTTATCAGAAATTATTGGCTATTAAAACACCAAAATATTAGTTGTAATTGCTTCTGGGTAATGAGATTATATGTACTTGTAATTTTATCCTTACATTTTCTGTGTATCCAAAACTTTTCAAAGTAAGAACAAGTCACTCTTATATAATAATAAAAGAAAATTTCAAAATTAAAAATATACACACATATACACAATTATTTTTAACTAGAGAAATTCAGGAGCAACTAAATTTTAAAACACCCAAAAGAATATTTTCTGTGAGTTATTGACATTCTTTGATTGGCACAATACAGATTTGAACATCTTTCATAATATTTACACATTTTACTTATATTTCCCTTGTTTGTGGACTATAATGGACTATACTTAATAGACTATAAACATGTTTAGCACAGTGATAGCACAACCTCTATGGTCTATCTGCTCTCATTATGTTCTCAGCCAATAATTGTTACATTGAAATTTGGAATTAAATATATTGGCTACAGTACTAATTCTGAATACCATTTCAATAGATGTTTGGGCAGCACATAATCACTGTTCTGCAATTTCTAGCCTTTCACTTTGATAGCTTGCAGAAGGAAACACTGCTAGGTTTAATTATTTCTTTCCTATTGTGGAGAACATTTTTTTCAGGCATATCAACCACAAAAAACTTACCATCTTTCTGAGAAATTCATTGAACTAGTAGAGTTTCAGATGTCATAATAGCATATATCTTCCTCTGAAGGCTATGTTGAATTGTGCAAAAAATCCTGAATCTTTGCAATTCTTTTCCCCAATAGAGGGAATTTAGGGACAGTGGTGAACATAAATGTATATTAATTGTTCTATACTAATGTCAAAGAGGACAGTTCTACATTGAAAAGGGTATTTGGGCTGAGTTTGATCTTAATTCTTTTTAGTAGATTCTCATTGATCTGGTTATGAAGCAATTACTTGACAAGGACATAGGAAACTACAAAAGAGAAGCTCAGCTAATGACGGTATAAAGACAGTTCTGATAAGTGGTCAGAAATATGATCAAGGGCAATTTGAGTTACTTTAATCACTCTGTATGGGTTTCTGAATTGTATTAATGATGGTTACATTCTTGTGTTATTAAGCTTCATTTTATACAGGCAAGTGCATGCCAAGAATGTAGTATACTTAAGTCAAAATATTAAGGGTATAATAATTATATTTTCTACTTCTATTTATATTATGTATAATTTGCAACCTGCTTTACAACTGTCTAAAATGTATATTTTAATGCTTTTAGGTACTGCTTTAAGCATGTGAAATCTAAGAAACAAAGCTCATGTAAAATAATACAGATTTTCCTATCAGTGATCAATCAGAATAGATTAAGCCCAATAACATTATTAAATATCTGGCATTTTTATTTTGAACATTCTGACGTAACCATAAAAGCTTTCTAATATGGCTTTATATTTTATTAGTCAAAATAATTAATTTCTGGCTGCTGTCAAGAACAGCCAAAATATCTTAGTGGATTAAAATAATAAAAGCTTATTTCTCCCTTTCATAATAGTAGGGATAAAGTAGGTTTAAAGCGATGCTCTCGTACGAGAAGGATCCAGGGATCCAAGCTACCTGCAGCTTGTGTCTCCAACATCTCTAGGGCTGGATGCAGAATTCTTCATTGGATCCGCTGAATACAGTTGGCAATGATAGCCTATGACAGAGAGTAAAGAATGTATTACAGCCAAGTCGATGTATGTAAATCTCTTCTACCCACAGTCCTTTGGCCAAATCATATAGCAAGTAACAAACCACAAGAGGACTGCAATTTTTTGAAGTACTGTTTCCAGATACCCATGATGAAAAAGTGGGGTTGTGAGAAATCACCCAATCTCTGTCACACATGTTATCTGTTTAGACAGCCCTTTAATAGTTGACATAAGGGAATTACATAACACATATAGCAAGTTTGAAGAATAGAATATTATTTTATGATAAAATAAAATGTAGACTTCTATTTTCTTACTTTTTGGCACTTAAAATTGTGAAAATAAAGCTATTCTTTCAGATACCAAATAATACATTCCTCTGAATAATTTTTAAACTTTAAATTTTAATGAGTGTTGTATACTTTGTTCTACTGTATTATTTACCCTTGATTTAAATTTTGACTCATTTTGTGGCTCAAATAAGATGTATAGAAAAGACACCTTCAATTTATATTAGAAATTCCCCAAATACCTTTACACTGATTTCCAAAATAAGTAGCATCAGCTTCCCAGAGACCTAATGCTAATTTTTATTGATGGCTACCATCAGGAAATTAGTTAACATTACATTACAAGTTTCATTTTGAAAATCATAGAAAGTAAAAGAATGAGGATGCTGGTGTCATATTGTTATAGAATGCTGAAAAAAAATTCCAGGAATATATTCTTGAAACATTTTGTAAATATCAATTGCTTTGGAACTTAATGCAGAAAAGGTAACAAATCATTTTTAGAGAAAAATAATCTCAACATTTTCTTTTTCTAAGCTCCATATTTATTTACTATGCAAGAAACTTTATCAGAATGTGTAGTAGATAGTTTCTTAATATAGGTATATTATTTGACATATTTTCTATAATTATGAATACGATTATTTTATTCTCTCTTTTTTTGCCCTACAAACTAAACAAATTTTTATTTAAATAACGCCAAACTTTTTGAAGACAAAATAAAACAGATATGCTCTCATTCTTTGCTGATGGCTTTCTGGTGCAGTAACCCAGAAGAGTAATTTAACGATATGTAGAAAAAGCCATAAAATCTTGCATATTTCTTGACTCAATCATTCTGTATTTAGGAATTGCTTAAGCAAATACTTAAGCAGGATGGAAAGCTATTTACACTTAGATGTTCATCACAGCATTGATTGTAATAATAAAATATTGGGAGCAGCCTCCCTCTGACTTTAAGTAGTCTCCCTTTTCTGTTTTTCCCTTATTTGTGCCCATATGTACTCTCACTCTTCTTGTTAATCTTTGTATATACTGTATTGAAATCTCTATTAATATATTTATTCTTGAAGATTTTCTTTCTCTTTTGGGCTTTAGAGTCTGTCTATCTGGTTTGAAATGCTGGTTTCAATGCTAGCTCTGTTGCCCCAAACAAGTTTAATTTCTTCATCTGTAAAACTGGTATAATAGTACCTAGCTATACAATTTTTTAAACTTTTATTTTGCATTCAATGGTGTCAGGCCTCTGAGCCCAAGCTAAGCCATCATATCCCCTGTGACCTGCACGTACACACTCAGATGGCCAGTTCCTGACTTAACTGATGACATTCCACCACAAAAGAAGTGAAAATGGCCTGTTCCTGCCTTAACTGATGACATTGTCTTGTGAAATTCCTTCTCCTGGCTCATCCTGGCTCAAAAGCTCCCTACTGAGCACCTTGTGACACCCACTCCTGCCCGCCAGAGAACAGCCCCCCTTTGACTGTAATTTTCCTTTACCTGCCCAAGTCCTGTAAAACGGTCCCACCTCTATCTCCCTTCGCTGACTCTCTTTTTGGACTCAGCCCGCCTGCACCCAGGTGATTAAAAGCTTTATTGCTCACACAAAGCCTGTTTGGTGGTCTCTTCACATGGACATGCATGAAATTTGGTGCTGTGACTTGGATCGGGGGACCTCCCTTGGGAGATCAATCCCCTGTCCTCCTGCTCTTTGCTCCATGAGAAAGATCCACTTACAACCTCAGGTCCTCAGACCAACCAGCCCAAGAAACGTCTCACCAATTTCAAATCCGGTAAGCGGCCTCTTTTTACTCTCTTCTCCAACCTCCCTCACTATCCCTCAACCTCTTTCTCCTTTCAGTCTTGGTGCCACACTTCAATCTCTCCCTTCTCTTCATTTCAATTCCTTTCATTTTCTGGTAGAAACAAAGGAGACACGTTTTACCCGTGGACCCAAAACTCTGGCGCCGGTCATGGACTGGAAAGGCAGCCTTCTCTTGGTGTTTAATCATTGCAGGGACACCTCTCTGATTATTCACCCATGTTTCAGGGGTGTCAGACCACACAGGGATGCCTGCCTTGGTCCTTCACCCTTAGCAGCAAGTCCTGCTTTTCTTGGGGAGAGGCAAGAACCCCAACCCCTTCTCTCTGTGTCTCTACCCCTTCTCCGCTTTTCTAGGGGAGGGGCAAGAACACCTCAACCCCTTCTCCTTCACCCTTAGCGGCAAGTCCCACTTTTCTGGGGGAGGGGCAGGAACCCCGACCTCTTATCTCTGCACCCCAATCCCTTATTTCTGCACCCCGACCTCTTAATTCTGTGCTACAACCCCTTATTTCCACACCGCGACCCCTTCTCTGCTTTTCTGGAGGGCAAGAACCCCCCACCTCTTCTCCGTGTCTCTACTCTCTTTTCTCTGGGCTTGCCTCCTTCGCTATGGGCAAGCTTCCACCTTCCATTCCTCCTTCTTCTCCCTTAGCCTGTGTTCTTAAGAACTTAAAACCTCTTCAACTCTCACCTGACCTAAAATCTAAGCATCTTATTTTCTTCTGCGATGCCACTTGACCCCAATACAAACTCAACAGTAGTTCCAAATAGCCAGAAAATGGCACTTTCAATTTTTCCATCCTACAAGATCTAAATAATTCTTGTCATAAAATAGCCAAACGGTCTGAGGTGCCTGATGTCCAGGCATTCTTTTACACATCGGTCCCTCCCTAGTCTCTGTTCCCAATGCAACTCCTCCCAAATCTTCCTTCTTTCCCTCCCACCTGTCCCCTCAGTCCCAACCCCAAGTGTCACTAAGTCTTTCTAATCTTCCTTTTCTACAGACCCATCTGACCTCTCCCCTCCTCACCAGGCTGAGATAGGTCTCAATTCTTCCTCAGGCTCCACTCCTCCACCCTATAATCCTTTTATCACCTCCCCTCCTCACACCCAGTCAGGCTTACAGTTTCATTCCGTGACTAGCCCTCCCCCACCTGCCCAGCAATTTACTCTTAAAAAGGTGGCTGGAGCTAAAGGCATAGTCAAGGTTAATGCTCCTTTTTCTTTATCTCAAATCAGATAGTGTTTAGGCTCTTTTTCATCAAACATAAAAATCCAGTCCAGTTCATGGCTCATTTGGCAGCAACCCTGAGACACTTTACAGCTCTAGACCCTAAAAGGTCAAAAGGCCGTCTTATTCTCAATATACATTTTATTACCCAATCTGCTCCCGACATTAAATAAAACTCCAAAAATTAAATTCCAGCCTCAAACCCCACAACAGGACTTAATTAACCTCACCTTCAAGGTGTACAATAATAGAGTAGAGGCAGCCAAGTAGCAACATATTTCTGAGTTGCAATGCCTTCCTTGCTTCCACTGTGAGACAAACCCCAGCCACATCTCCAGCACACAAGAACTTCCAAACACCTAAACCGCAGTGGCCAGGTGTTCCTCCAGAACTGCCTCCCCCAGGAACTTGCTACAAGTGCCAGAAATCTGGCCACCAGGCCAAGGAATGCCTGCAGCCCAGGATTCCTCCTAAGCTGTGTCCCATCTGTGTGGGACCCCACTGGAAATCGGACTGTTCAACTTACCTGGCAGCCACTCCCAGAGCCCCTGGAACTCTGGCCCAAGGCTCTCTGACTGACTCCTTCCCAGATCTTCTCGGCTTAGCAGCTGAAGACTGACACTGCCCGATCGCCTCAGAAGCCCCTTAGACCATCACGGATGCCGAGCTTTTGGTAACTCTCACAGTGAAGGGTAAGTCTGTCCCCTTCTTAATCAATACAAAGCCTACCCACTCCACATTACCTTCTTTTCAAGGGCCTGTTTCCCTTGCCTCCATAACTGTTGTGGGTATTGACAGCCAAGCTTATAAACCTCTTAAAACTCCCCAACTCTGGTGCCAACTTAGACAATACTCTTTAATGCACTCCTTTTTAGTTATCCCCACCTGCCCAGTTCCCTTATTAGGCTGAGACACTTTATCTGCTTCCCTGACTATTCCTGGACTATAGCTACATCTCATTGCCACCCTTCTTCCCAATCCAAAGCCTCCTTTGCATCCTCCTCTTTTATCCCCCCACCTTAACCCACAAGTATAAGACACCTCTACTCCCTCCTTGGCGACTGATCATGCAACCCTTACCATCTCATTAAAACCTAATCACCCTTACCCTGCTCAATGCCAATATCCCATCCCGCAGTGCGCTTTAAAAAGATTAAAGCCTGTTATCAGTCACCTGTTACAGCATGGCCTTTTAAAGCCTATAAACTCTCCTTACAATTCCCCCGTTTTACCTGTCCTAGAACCAGAAAAGCCTTACAGGTTAGTTCAGGATCTGAGCCTTATCAACAAAATTGTTTTGCCTATCCACCCCATGGTGCCAAACCCATATACTCTCCTATCCTCAATACCTCCCTCCACAATCCATTATTCTGTTTCGGATCTCAAACATGCTTTCTTTACTATTCCTTTGCACCCTTCATCCCAGCCTCTCTTTGCTTTCACTTGGACTGACCCTGACACTCATTAGGCTCAGCAAATTACCTGGGCTGTACTGCTGCAAGGCTTCACAGACAGCCCCCATTACTTCAGTTAAGCCCAAATTTCATCCTCATCTGTTACCTATCTCGGCATAATTCTCATAAAAACACATGTGCTCTCCCTGCTGAGCGTGTCTGACTAATCTCCCAAACCTCAATCCCTTACAAAACAACAACTCCTTTCCTTCCTAGGCATGGTTAGTGTGGTCAGAATTCTTACACTAGGACCAGGACCGCACCCTGTAGCCTTTTTATCCAAACAACTTGACCTTACTGTTTTGCCTAGCCCTCAAGTCTGCGTGTGGCGGCTGCCACTGCCCTAATACTTTTAGAGGCCCTTAAAATCACAAACTATGCTCAACTCACTCTCTACAGTTCTCATAACTTCCAAAATCTATTTTCTTCCTCACACCTGACACATATACTTTCTGCTTCCTGGCTCCTTCAGCTGTACTCACTCTTTGTTGAGTCTCCCACATTATTCCGGATACCACACCTGACCCTCATGACTGCATCTCTCTGATCCACCTGACGTTCACCCCATTTCCCCACATTTCCATCTTTCATCTTCCTCACCCTGAACACACTTGGTTTATTGATGGCAGTTCCACCAGGCCTAATCGCCACTCACCAGCAAAGGTAGGCTATGCTATAGTATCTTCCGCATCTGTCATTGAGGCTACTGCTCTGTCCCCCTCCACTACCTCTCAGCAAGCTGAACTCATTGCCTTAAGTCAAGTCCTCACTCTTGCAAAAGGACTAAACGTCAATATTTATACTGACTCTAAATATGCCTTCCATATCCTGCACCATCATGCAAGAGGTTTCCTCACTACGCAAGGGTCCTCTATCAGTAATGCCTCTTTAATAAAAATGCTTCTCAAAGCTGCTTTACTTCTAAAGGAAGCTAGAGTCATTCACTGCAAAGGCCATTAAAGGGCATCAGATGCCATCGCTCAGGACAATGCTTATGCTGATAAGATAGCTAAAAAAGCAGCTACCAGTCCAACTTATATCCCTCACTTTCAGTTTTTCTCCTTCACATCGGTCACTCCCACTGATCCTTCACATCCTACTCCCCCGCTGAAACTTCCACCTATCAATCTTGTCCCACACAAGGCAAATGGTTCTTAGACCAAGGAAAATATCTCCTTCCAGCCTCACAGGCCCATTCTATTCTGTCGTCATTTCATAACCTCTTCCACGTAGGTTACAAGCTGCTAGCCCGTCTCTTAGAACCTCTCATTTCCTTTCCATCCTGGAAAACTATCCTCATGGAGATCACTTCTCAGTGTTCCATCTGCTATTCTACTACCCCTCAGGGATTGTCCAGGCCCCCTCCCTTTCCTACCCATCAAGCTCGGGGATTTGTCCCTGCCCAGGACTGGCAAATTGACTACTCACATGCCCCAAGTAAGAAAACTAAAATATCTCTTAGTCTAGGTAAACACTTTCACTGGATAGGTAGAGGCCTTTCCTACAAGGTCTGAGAAGGCCACCGCGGTCATTTCTTCCCTTCTGTCAGACATAATTCCTCGGTTTGGCCTTCCCACCTCTATACAGTCCTATAACAGATCAGCCTTTATTAGTCAAATCAGCCAAGCATTTTTTCAGGCTCATGGTATTCAGTGAAACCTTTATATCCCTAACAGTCCTCAGTCTTCAGGAAAGATAGAACAGACTAATGGTCTTTTAAAAACACACCTCACCAAGTTCATCCACCAACTTAAAAAGGACTACACAATACTTTTATCACTTTCCCTTCTCAGAATTCAGGCCTGTCCTCGGAATGCTACAGGGTACAGTCCATTTGAGCTCCTGTTTAGATGCTCCTTTTTATTAGGCCCCAGTCTCATTCCAGACACCAGACCAACTTGGACTGTGCCCCAAAAAACTTGTCATCCCTACTTCTTCTGTCTAGTCATACTCCTATTCACCATTCTCAACTACTCATACATGCTCTGCTTTTGTTTACACTGCCGGTTTACACTGTTTCTCCAAGCCATCACAGCTGATACCTCCTGGTGCTATCCCCAAACTGCCACTCTTAACTCTTAAAGTAAATAAATAATCTTTGCTGGCAGGACTATGCTGAATCTCCTTAAGCACTCTCTAATTAGATGTCCTGGGTCTTCCCAATTCTTAGACCTTTAATACCTGTTTTTCTCCTTCTCTTATTCCGTTTAGTTTTCCAATTCATACAAAACCGTATCCAGGCCATCACCAATAATTCTATATGACAAATGTTTCTTCTAAAAACCCCACAATATCACCCCTTACCACAAAATCTTCCTTCAGCTTAATCTCTCCCACTCTAGGTTCCCATGCCGCCCCTAATCCCGCTTGAAGCAGCCCTGAGAAACATCACCCATTATCTCTCCATACCACCCCCCAAAATTTTCGCCGTCCCAACACTTTACCACTATTTCATTTTATTTTTCTTATTAATATAAGAAGACAGGAATGTCAGGCCTCTGAGCCCAAGCTAAGCCATCATATCCCCTGTGACCTGCACGTACACATCCAGATGGCCGGTTCCTGACTTAACTGATGACATTCCACCACAAAAGAAGTGAAAATGGCCTGTTCCTGCCTTAACTGATGACATTGTCTCATGAAATTCCTTCTCCTGGCTCATCCTGGCTCAAAAGCTCCCTACTGAGCACCTTGTGACCCCCACTCCTGCCCGCCAGAGAACAACCCCCCTTTGACTGTAATTTTCCTTTACCTGCCCAAATCTTGTAAAACGGTCCCACCCCATCTCCCTTGCTGACACTCTTTTTGGACTCAGCCTGCCTGCACCCAGGTGATTAAAAGCTTTATTGCTCACACAAAGCCTGTTTGGTGGTCTCTTCACACTGATGCGCATGAAAATGGTATATGTGCAGGTTTGTTATATAGATAAATTACATATCACAGGCATTTGGTGTCCAAATTATTTTGCCACCCAGGTAATAAGCATAGTACCCAACAGGTACTTTTTCAATGCTCACCCTCTTACCTCCACCCACCTTCAAGGAGTCTCCCATGTCTGTTGTTCCCTTATTTGTTTTCATATGTACTTTCACCCTTCTTTCAAATATTTGTATATACTATGTTTGGATATCTATGGATACAAAGATTTTCTTTCTCTTTTGCCAGGTTATTCTACTGATTTATTCAAAGCACATTGTTTACGTTCATTGAAATTTCATTTTAAATGCCTTTTTATTGGTGATCATATACAACAATTTTCTATTCTAAGAAAAAATTTTCTCCATATAAATTAAAATATAATTAATTGATGATTATGAGTAAAAAGTAGGAAACTATGAATGAAACTACAGATGGCTTCAAATTTATTTCTTAAAGTAACTCCAATTTGATTTCTTTATTGAATTCAGAGTAAATAAATAGATTAGTGGTATTCTCCTTTCAATATTTTATAAAATGCTTGACTCACTCCTGACATTTTTTGTGTTATTTCCCTTCCAAGTGTGATTTGTCATTGGTGCTATAAAGGAATGTGATCACTTGGGTTGGAAATGACTTAATTTGAATAGTATGCATAAATGTTTCAAATGCAAGTATCCTTCCATTGAAACAACATTTAAATAAAAATTAGAGAAATATGGCTTAGAGGATAATTATTGCCATATGAATGAAGTTGAATAAAGAATGAGAGAAGGAATCTGTTTGTCAGCCTAACTCATAATTTCAATATTGGGCATTAGCATTCATTGGATTTGTTACTAAATGACAAGGGATGAATTGAAAACATTTACATTTTGGTAAGCAGTATCAATTAATTGACAACATACATAAACACATGAATAACTGAAATTGCTGAATTCCAGAAAATATTTTGATGCTTCTTTTGGGGTTCATCTATTAGAAAATATAAAAATGCCTCTTTATAACTTTCTGTTTCTTCATTTGAATAAAGCAGGAAACTGATTTCCATCAAATAAGTTGGCTGCAATGAAATACTTAATTTGGAGAATTGAATTAGCAACAACATAGTAGAGCACTACCAGAGAAGAAAAACACCTTAAATGACAATCGGTAGCTATAAGTTATAGCAGAAAATAAATATCTGATTATTCTCATAGTTTTCATTACAAAAACATATTAATAATTAAAGATGATGTGAAAAATGCAAATAGTTTATCACTAAGGAACAACTGCATAGGTGTATCAGTCTGGTTTGTATTATGCTAATAGACAACCCTAGAATCTTAGTAGTTTTAAACAATACATGTTGAATCTACATGTCTATCACAGATTTTCAGATCTTTAGGAGGTTCCTGCTTATCATAGTCATTAGTCATTTACAACCCAAGATTGATGAAAGAGACACTGGGGTTGGCAGTTATGTACCAGGGTAAAACAGAGAACTTAAAGATGTCATTCTAGAAAATAAATGTTTGACTTAGAGATGACAGACAACCAGAACTAACATCACGTGTTTCTCACACCCACTCACCTATCAAGTGGCCAGAATGTATAAATCAACTGTATTATTTCTCAAGTTAAGAGCTGAAATATTCCTTGAATAATACTAGCTACTACCACAACTAGGTATTACAACAACTACTGTTACAGGAAAGGAGTCCCTACCCAGACCCCAAGAGAGGATTCTTGGATCTCATGCAAGAAAGAATTCAGGGTGAGTCCGCAGTGCAAAGTAAAGGCAAGTTTATTAAGAAAGTAAAGTAGTGAAAGTACAGCTATTCCGTAGATAGAGTGGGATGTTCCTGAAAGCAAGAGGAGGAATGGCGTCCACCCTAGGTACAATGCTTGTTTATATAGGATAAAAAGATCATGGAAGATGTGCTCTGCTACAAGGGTTTGTGATGAAGGATTAATTTTCTTAATTACTGTATTTTGAAACAATCAATGTTATTATCTTTAAAGCAAAATTAGGAATGCCTTTGTTCTCCAGATATTAGGATATCTGGACACACCCAGGTCTGAGTCTGTTTAGTAAACATTACTCATTTGTTCCCTTAACCTTAAACATCTAGAAGCTAGGAATGCCAACTTTCTGGGGAGGGAAACCAGCAAGCCCCAGCCTCATTTTCCTGGCCCTCACTCAAGATGGAGTTGCTCTGGTTTGAATGTCTCTGACACCACTATTCCTTGAATAAGTACTAGCCTACAACACCAACCTGTTCCTGTATTATAATGGTATGTTCATACAAGTTGGTGGATATGGAATTCTGGAACTATACATTAGGCCAAACAGATCATCCCAGGGAGATACTAGTGAAAACCTCCTAGTGGAATTTAAAGATAGATTTTAAAAAGAGATTATAAATATAGGTATAGGTATGGGTATATAATCTCATAATATAGTTATATATAATTGACAACTACTTAGGATATTGCTATTCTATTGCTTTTCCTGTCAGAGTGTTCAATATATTGTACTGTTGTAATTTCATATTTCCTCACAAGTCCTAACTAACTACTTCATTTGGGCACACAAGAATTTACAAAATAAAGTGAAAAGCTTGTTCTTCTAAGTTGAACTAGGAATATAGCAATTATGGCAGCCCAAGGCTTGTATGTCCCAGGATATAGTAATTGCTTCATAAATTATACCTCTTATTTAAGTTTCAACATTCTTTCCCACAAAAAAAGCAAAATAAAACAGTTTGACACATGAACAACATCACATATCACAATCACATATACAGGTAGTTTATTTAAGGAAGTAATCTTAAGAAAGAAGAATAGGAAGCTGGGTAAATGAAATAAACAATTATTAAGCTAACCATCAAAAGAGCAACTGGGGGCTCATTTCCACTAGAACCCACAAGGACCTGTGTAGAAGGTGGCACAGATTGTTTCCTGGGGTGGATAGAAGGAAATCTACAAAATCCCATCCTTTCTAGGTCAAAAGTTGCCCTGTGATGTATTAATAGCTTGCGCTTTCAGGTTTGATCATGCATGGTTCTTTGCACTAGTTCCCATAGTGTCTCCATCAGAAAGGTCCTGGGACAGAAAGTAAACATAAAGTAATTTTGAGAGGAGCTCCAATCAGTTTACAGCTGTCCCAAGCTGTTATCCTAAAAAATGATTGATGTAAAAGGTGTTCTCAATGATCTGAGGTAGGACACAGAGGTGTCTAGTTAAGGACCATAATTAGCTATTATAGTATCAGCTATTGTAATCCAAATAGTCTGCTCCTTCACACCTACTTTAAATTTTCTAATGTGAGTTTCTTCTAGTACATACTTAAAAATGAGCCACCATATCATATTTATTTTGAATGGTCCATTTAGATGTTGCTTCTCAATTTTATATTTCCCTGTTCTAGACATTTTTTTCTGCCTTTGGCTTCATTAATGCTCTTCTTGAAACTTCTAGACACCATTTCCTCATTAGTTACTGTTCCTTTACTGCAAGTTAATGAGCTTCATGTAAAATAAGCTAGACTTTCCTTGCCTTCTTTGTCTTTATTCTCCACAATACTAACAGACAGCTATATCAAACTTAACTGAGGTATTGGAGGCAATTTTTTAATGCTACACAGGAGCAGAAATTTTATAGCTGTGGCTAAATACAGCATTTTCCAAGTCTAGAAAAAAACCCATCAGTTACTTTTGATAGGTTACAATTGCCAGATTATGAATGCTGCTAACCCGGCTTCCTTATCCTGAATTTCTGCTCTTTCCCAAACTCTATTTATTCTGTTCAGTCACTTTAATTTTTCACTACCAGTTTTAATACTGTTTGCCCCAGTATCCAAGTTCTTAATAAATAAAATCTTCATATACTCGGTACTCAAATACATTTAATTAGCATATTTCCCTAAATTAGCCGCATTCAGTTTTGATAACATCCCCAAAATCTTCAGTGATGGAATCTGACACACCAAATATATTTAGGAGGCAAAGACGTTACGAATAAAACACACACACACATGCATGCACGCACACACGCACACAGAAGCATTGGACTGCTACCAGGACTGTGTAATGTAAATTCATAGAAGATAAATATTTTCTTAACTGGCTCATAATTTACAAGACCCCTCTTTTATCAATAGAGTCCTTTCCTTAATTATTAGTTTAGTTTTTTTTTTATTTCCTTTATTCCCTGTTTTCCATCATGAAGTTGAATATAATAATATAGTAACTCGACTATCACCCTCTCCTTAGGGTTTATTACTTTTGGGATTTATTTAGTTTAGTTTTGTTTTTGATGATTATAGACTGTCTTTAAGCTCCACATCAGCTTGAGGTGTAGCCTTAAGATATTCTCATGTCTTCTATGCTTTTCCCGGGGCATGCACAGTGACTTTCTATTTTTCCCCATATATGCAGGAGTTTTGGGGGAATGTTTTGTTTGCTTATTATGTTCTTTATTTTTTAATATTTTAGTCTTTAAAATTTGAATACTATATTTTAGTCTTTAAAGATTTGATATTAATTAATTAATATCAGGATTAATTAATATCAGGATTCCAAAAGGGTTGGGGAAAGAAAAATTAAGGGGGAAAAGACTTTCAGCTCCTTAGATCTCCTGGAAGTTGATTTAGCCAGAAAGAAAGGGACTTGCAACAATGCCCAACACTGTGTCTGCACCTGTTATCAGAAGCAGCAATAAGCAAGTAGAACACAGACCTAGGTATTTGGAAGACAGAGCCCTTATTGCCCACTCTGATTCTGCAAGATTTAGGCAAGCTGTTCTAGGAATATGTGCACAGTCATCTGACACTGAGGCATGAGGAATGGCTGCTCTATGCTAAGATCCAAAATGGACTGAAATTAAATGCAATTTACCAAGTCTAAACTTTTATTGGAAGTTATAAGCCTGTAATATAATTCAAAATTCCAGACAGACTTTCAGTGCGATTGTTGTGTATGTGGGGAGACAGCTTCCTGGTGCTTCCTACTCCATCATCTTCCCAGAGTTCTCTCAGAATAACTTACTTTTACAGCAGTTCCTGATCTGGAAAAGTATTATAAAAGTGGTCTTCTTTGATTCTTCTCTGGATTAAGTGGTTGTGAAAATGTATGTGCCCTATTCTACATATCTTTATAAATTAAAATTATTTATTATTTTTCACTTTTTAAATGTATTCCCAATTTCAATTGCATTTCTCCTTATTTATTTAGGCTTTTAAAAAAGCCAGTATTATGAATTATATTTTTTTAAAAAACATGTAAATTAAGAAACAAAAGAGGGTGTTTTGGTTAGATAATCTATTTTGTTTTCCTTTTGAAAATACTGAATAATGTATTGATTTTTATCATCTTTACACTGAATAAAGAATATTATTATTCTTAGGAACAAGAGTAAGAAGTCACAGATCTCCTTATAAAGCTTGTAACTATGTGAATACATGAATATGATTTTTCCAAATTTATATTTTATTTGGAATAAGTAATTGAAGAAAGTTTTGCTGCAGATTTTGGAGAAAAAAACTTATAAATCTAAAAATCACATACACTTTAAAAATAAATTGATTTCAACACTATTAATTATGATCAATAACAAAAATACATTAAGTAGTTTGTATAATGAAAAGGAATCTGATTCATGTAAAAGCAAGTTCTTGCATACTACGTACAGGCATGACAAAGTAAGTCTACTAACCAATAGTGAATAATCTGAACATCCTTTCTTGATCTGGTCTCTGTTTCTCCAGGTGCATTTTTCAAACTCTCTCTTAGGTTTGAATTCTTTCAGTTCTACTTAAAGATTCTGTCAGCTCTGAATATTTACATAGTTCATCAACTCTCTGGAAAGCCCTCTCCAAAACTCTCCTGTGTATAGAACCTCATTTTCCCCACTTGTCTTGGTCTACTTGGGCGCCATAACAAAAATATAACAAACTCAGTGTCTTAAACAACAGATATTTAATTTCTCACAGATCCAGAGGCTAGAAGATCAGAATCAAGGTCTTATCAGTGTTGATTTTTGGTGCGGCTACTCTTCCTGACCTGCAGATGGCCACCTTCTTGCTTTGTTTTCACATGGCCTCTCTTCTGCCAATGTTCATGGGTGAAGAGGGAGAGCTGTCTGGTATCTGTTTCTCTTCTTACAAGAACAACAGTCCTATTGGATTAGGACCCTATCATAACCTCATTTAACTTTAATTTCCTTTTTAAGGCCCTTTCTCCAACTCTCTAGTGATATTGGGGGTTATAGGCTTCAAAGAAATGAATTCTGGGGGAAACAATTCACTTCATAACACGATTTACATCCTTTAGTTCTCAGATTCAATATATTTTTTAAAAGATTTTTTTTAATAAGTTCTTATTGAACATGAACTTTTTAAACATGTACTGTCTTTATAATAAACTAGCTTTTTTTTTTTTTTTGGAGACAGAATCTTGCCATTGCAGACTTGAACTCCTAGGCTCAAACGATTTTGTCACCTTAACCTGCTGTGTAGCTAGAACCCAGCTAATTATGTAATTTTTTTTTTTTTTTTTTTTTTTTTAAGAAAAGGGGTCTTACTCTTACAGGTCTTACAGGTTGGTCTCAGACTTCTGGTCTCCAGTGATCTTTCTACCTTGGCCTGCCAAAGTGCTGGATTACAGGGCCAGGCACGGTGGCTCACACCTGTAATCCCAGCACTTTGGGAGGCCAAGGTGGGTAGATCATTTGAGGTCAATAGTTTGAGACCTGCCTGGCATACATAGGGAAACCCCGTCTCTACTAAACAAATACAAAAATTAGCTGTGCATGGTAGTGCATGCCTGTAATCCCAGCTACTTGGGAGGCTGAGACAGGAGAATCACTTGAACCTGGGAGGCCACTGCACTCCAGCCTGGGCAACAGAGCGAGAATTCATCTCAAAAAAAAAAAAAAAAAAAAAAAAAGAGTGCTGTGCTGGGGTTACAAGTGTGAGCCACTATGACAGGCCTACACTAGCTTTTGAATATTTCTTCTTCTATTGGAAAATTTACTCCAAGAAGGGTAGAATATACCTATTTTTGCTCATTGCTAGAGCACCAGCTCTTAAACCAGGAGCTGTGTATAAGTGCCAGTGAATAGTTTATCTAATACATTGAACTGAATTGAATCTATGACTGTAAATAAGAGCATGAGCAAAATTATTTTCAGTAATATGCATACAAGGATTATATTTCACATATTTATTTTCTTAAGGAAAGTATTAAATTCTCATTTTATCATGCACCCCACAACTAAATAAATGTTTTAAAACATTTTATATATAGGTAAATTTTCTGAATTTTCAGTGGGAAATCTCTTTTTAAATAATTTTAACTGATTAGGAATACAAATTTAATGTAGTAATCTGTTTCTAAATATTATTACATTATGCTAACTATAAGACTGAAGTTTTGTCAATGATAAGAGAAAATATTTTTAGTAATTTATTTTTCATTCTAACATAATTTTTTTACCAGCATTTGAAGGAAAATTAAGGTAGGGCATGGTATTTCAGAACCAAGGAAGGGAGATATTTTAAACCACAGTTGTATACAATTAAAAGTAATACATTTTTCCACTATTTTATTTCCATGTTTAACAGCTTATAATGCCAATGGCAATATTTTAAAAGATTAAAGCTTTTATTTTTCCCCTTTTAATGTAGAAAGAACAGATCTTTTGTTTTGATTGTCTGTCACCCTGGTGTTTGAGTTTATAATTGGCACTTGTAAATGATCAGTAAATACTAGTCTCTTATTTAAAAAAGGGTGAGTGAGTGAAGTTAATACAAGAATAGCTGAAATATTTAATGTATATATTCAAATAATTTTTGCGATTTTTTTTTTTTTTAGACAAACTCTGGCTTTATCACCAGGCTGGAGTGCAGTGGCACAATCTCGGCTCGCTGCAACATCCGCCTCCTGGGTTCAAGTGATTCTCCTCCCTCAGCCTCCCGAGTAGCTGGGACTACAGGTGCACACCACCACATCCAGCTAATTTTTGTATTTTTTTTAGTAGAGATGGGGTTTCACCATATTGGCCAGGAATTTTTGCAATTTCTGCTTATACATCCCTGTCACCTAGAATTATTTCAAAATATAAAAATGTAGTAGTTAATATGCAAGTCTGATTCAACAAATGAACTAAAACTGCCATATCCTTGTGTATTCCCTCTCTGAATTAGGGGTAGCCCTATGTTATGGGTTGAATTGTGTCCCCCCCCAAAATTCATATATTGACGTCGTAACCCCAAACATCTCAGAATGTATCTTTATTTGGAGATAGGGTCTTTATAGAGATAATGAAGTTAAAGTGAGGTCATTAGCGTGAGCTCCAGTCCAATCTTACTGGTGTTCTATAAAAAGGAAAAATTAGACCTAGACAAACATACAGGGAAATTTTCTTGAGAAGATGAAAACAGAGGTCTACGAGCCAAAGAATGCCAAAGATTGCCAGACAAACATCAGAAGCTAGGGAAAAGTCACAGAATGGATTCTTCCTCATGGCTCTGAATCTAGGAACTGGCTGTCTTCATACCTTGATCTAGAATTCCCAGCCTGCAGAGGGAAAAAAAAAATTTACGTTTTCTAAGCCACTAAGTTTGTGGTACTTTGTTACAATCGCACTAGAAAACTAATATACCCTGTTACTTGTGCTTTTGTTTGTTTTAAATTATTTATGTACTTATTTATTTGATGATTAGCCTTTGACAAATAGAATGTTGCAGAAACAATACTGCATTACTTCTCTGAGTAGATTATAAGCACCCATGCAGCTTCTGCCTGGATCTTTGGAATGCTCTTTTTTTGTGGAAAAGCCAGCTGACATGTAAGAAGTCTAATTAACCTGAGATTGCAATCCTGTGATGGCAGGATGGCAGGATGGCAGGATGGGCCAAACCAGTCACTGGGAGTGGTCACAGGGAGAGAGACAGAGAGAGAGTCTTGAAATTCCAGCCAACCCAGCTATTCCAAACCAGGTGTCAGACATATAAGTAAAGAAGCCACGTTGTTTTTAAGGATGATCAGTATTCCATTGTGTATATATACTACATTTGCTTTATCTATTCATTTTTTGTTGGACATTAGGCTAATTTCATATCTTCGCTACTGTTAATAGTGCTACAATAAATATGAGACAGCAGAAATCTCTTCGACAAACTGATTTCCAATCTTTTGGGTAAATACCCAGAAATAATATTGCTGGATCATATAGTAATTGTATTTTTTATTTTTTGAGAAATCTGCATATTGTTTTCTATGGTGACTATACTCAAATATTTGAGATGATGGATATGTTAATAGTTTGATTTAATTATTTCACATTGGATCATAAATTACAACATCACATTGTACTCCATAAGTTTATACAATTACAAATTGTCAATTTACAATCTTTAGAAAGCCACATTGAATGTCCTCTTCAGTTGAATCTTCAGGTAACTCTAGGTCCATTTGCCAAATGATGGCTGCTGTCTGAGACACCTAAAGTGAGAACAATTTACACAAGCTAAGCCAACCCACGGAGACATGAGATATCATAATAAATTGTTCTAAGTTACTAAGTTTTTGAGAGATTTGTTAGGCAGCATTAGATAGCTGGGACACTAATTTCTGTAGTTAGGTTGGTGTAGATGGGTGTTTCTCAAAGTGCTGTCACCAGACCAGCAGCATCAGCATCATTGGGAACTTGTTAGAAATGCAAATTCTTGGACTCCAGCCCAGAAACTCTGAATCAGAAACTCTAGAGATAGGACTCCACTGTTTGTTGTTTAACAAGCCTACCAGGTGATTCTGACTCACATTATAGTTTCAGAACAACTTTAAATTCTTTCTTAATGAAATCTTTACACTTTTGGTTGATGGAGACCAAATACAGGCAAAAAGATCGACCTTATCATAGCTTAAGAAGTGCTGTAACATCTGTGCACTGCCAGCGTTTCATCCTCTCCTCATGCTAAGCCTCCTCAGCTCTTCATTTTCTATGTGCTCTGCTCTCTCCAAAAGTCCATGGGCTTCCTGAATTTCTTTTCCTTTTTTTTTTTTTGATATTTTTGTCAGCTTTTCCCAGTAACCTATATGTCTTGCTAAGCTTCACTTTTTCATGGGAATCCTAGCTGACTTCTTGACTAGGTCAACTTCACTGTTAATAGGCCTTTAGTGCACTATGTACCTTTTCTTCAGATTGCTTGTCACAGTTGAATGTGCACACATTTGTGCAATCATTTAGAAGTGTGCTTCCTCCCATGATAAACTGTAAACTCACCAAAGCAGAACAATGTTAGCATGAGAATGAGCAAGATAAAAAATTAGCAAACTGATTTCTCACTAAGGAAGTAATAATAATAATATTTATGCAAACTCTCATTAGCACTCCTGTGCAGACCATGTACATTTGGTGAATTATCTCATTTAAAACAGCTTGTAAATTACAGTGATAAGGTCAGATCCTCAAGTTCTAGTTTAAAGAAAAAATTATTTTTGTCACTATTTCAAGCATATCATACTTTTTCCAAAACCAGTGAAGCCTGTTGAAACATAGTGTGTATTTTGACTTTTAAAGTTGAAATTTTTTCTATTACCAAGTAACAGTATTTTTAAAAGAAGGATACTTTGGAAGGCTTTTTATGTAGTAATAGCTTTGTTGGCTTATGTTCTTTGTATAACATATTTTTATAAGTATATTCAGATATAATAATTAAACAGCAAATGTATGAGCAACACTTCTTTTAAGGGATTGTTTTCAATATATTTAACAACCAGCATGCTATAGATAATGAGAAATCAAAGTGGCCATCTGCTACCATGTTCCAGCAGGATCCGGGAGGACGACCTTTACTGTACTAGGCCTGAATTCTTTCTTCTCACATTATGGTTCCAAGAAGGTCTGGGAAGATGCAAAGGAGGGGCCAAGGTGACCTTTGTGCTTGGGAGGGGTGAGCATCAAACAATGGCATTATCTGTTCACACCAACTACTGGAAACCCCTAAGCCTGGTTTTGTGAAATTTAGGGTGAGCTAAGTAGGACATATTTCCTGCCATGAAAAAATGTTATATTCTAGCAGGATATATGAAAATTATACAAACAGAAAAAAATAATTTTTAAAAGTGGCAAGAAGTAATAATAGGTTTGATTAGTAAACATTGCTGTTTGCTTAGCTAGATATACAGAATAGGGTAAACTTTTAAAAATATTTAATAATATAAAATTCATTATTTTCAGTTATTTCATCTTAGTTTAAATTAGTTAGATTATTAAATTATTTTCTTTAGCTTAATTTAGAATTTTAATTGTTACTTATGATTTATATTTTAATTCTGGACATTTATATATATAACATATATATGAAATGTATTTTTTTTAATTTTGAAATACAAATAAAAAGGAGGTGATATGGCTGTGTTCCCACTCAAATTTCATCTTGAATTGTAGTTCCAATAATCCCCACATATTGTGGGAGAGACCGGGTGAAAGGTAATTGAATCATGGGGACAGTTGACCCCATGCTGCTGTTCTCATGTTGGTGAGTGAGTTCTCATGAGATCTGATGGTTTTATAAGGAGATTTTTCCCCTTTGGCTCAACTCTTTCCCTTGCTGCCACCATGTGAAGAAAGATGTGTTAGCTTCCCCTTCTGCCATGATTTTAAGTTTTCTGAGGCCTCCCCAACCCTGTGAAACTGAGAGTGGATTAAACTTCCTTTCCTTATAAATTCCCCAGTCTTGGATATGGCCTTAAGGCAGCACGAGAAAGGATTAATACAATAAATTGGTACTGGGTGGGGTGCTGCTGTAAAGATACCCGAAAATGTGGGAGCGACTTTGGAACTGGGTAACAGGCAGAGGCTGGAACAGTTAGGAGGCCTCAGAAAAAGATAGAAAAATGTGGGAAAGTTTGGAACTTCCTAGAGACTTGTTGAATGGCTTTGACAAAAATACTTATTTTTTTCTAAAAGCTTCAAAGTTTTAATTTTGGCACTTAATTCCTTAATTCGTCTTGAATTGATTTGGCTTTATTTTGTCAGTTTGTGACCCATTTTAATTTTTCTCTACATAGATACACTGTCTTACAGAAGAAATCACATATCAATCCACCTCTTCTGCAATGAGCTATAAAAACCAGGTCTAATATTTATGTTTTTGACATATGCACAGATCAGTATTTCCTGTTGTTCTACTCTGTGTATTTATTCTTTAAACAATACATCACTGTTTTAATTCTACAGTTTTCTAATAATTCTTGACATTTTGCTGGACAAATCTGTGGTAATGAATGAACATTGAAATATCTTTCTTCCTACGTATTCTCAGTGGAGAAAAATAAATGTTTATAAAATAATATTTTGCATATGCCCTAAGAATAAAAAACTGAAGATAGCAAATTAAAATAGAAGAGATTAATAATATAAATATACCACTCTATTCCTTCCTTAATCTGAATAGTTATGAATCCAAATGTGGGTAAAACCTAAATATTCATCACAAATTTTCTTCGTCTGAAGCAGCCAACAGAGTCTGTTTAGTGACCTAAACATTATACCCATTTATGATAATAGCTTTGAGTATCTCTGAAAGGTTAAAGAATTATTAATATTTCATGCACATGCAGACATATGTAAATGTACTACTTGAGAGCGCTATCCAGCTCTAAATGGTTGCTTAACATTCATGTGCAATGTTTTTTGAAAACTGGATATTCCAGATGTCTAATTTCATAACAAGAAGGTTTTTTTCCCAGTTCTCCTAGATATCCATGTGCTTATATCTTAAATCCCTGTTTATATCTGTTATAGTTTATAGTACCTCCTATAGGAAGGAGTCCGCCATAAACTCCTTTCAAAAATTTTATCTGTCCTCTAATTTGTTTTTCTACATTTTTTTCCTATTTGTTTTTGTTTTTTTAGTAGCATCATTGCCAACTAAAATAGTATTTATTTGTGTATTCATCTCTTTTAAGATCTGTTTCTTCCATGGGAATATAAACTTCATGAGAGCAAAATTTTCATCTGGTACCTTGACTGCTTTATCACATCATGTATTACTCACAGTAAATTGAATTTTTTGTAAAATAGACACATTTTTCTTTGAGACTCTTGTGGCTCTGACATCCTCAGTCTTTGATTTTCTATGGTGTTCTTCTCTATCATTCCCACCATTAAATTTTGCAGTTATTTCTCAACAACAAAACAGAGAAGATGATGCAGAAATGCATGTACCACTTCACTTCTAACTGTATGTAATAAGGTGAAAACTTAGTCACTTTGCAACTCATAGCTCCATTGGAGGCTGGAGAGTCTAGACTCTAAAGCTGGTAGCATCTGCCAGAAAAAATAAGAGAGATGATATGGGGATATATAACAATAATCTCTGCCCCTTCCCTCTAAAATCATTTTGCAATGGAGAAGATCCTTAATAAATATTTGTTGAATGAATGAATAAATGCTTCTAAGAAATGTATTAGAATTGCAGACAGAATGAGGAGAAATTGTTCTGTAATAAATCTATACCTAATCAAAATTAAATTTTAGTTTATATTAATAGATCAATTTTTGAAGAGAAGTATAAAAATATATATCAATTTCTCTCTAACCAAATGTTTATTCATAATATCTTATATTTTAATTTACTTATTCCATTGGATCTCTACTGAAAGTGTGGAGAAATATAAGATGACAATATCTTCTTTATAATCATACATACAGAAATAAAGGAAAAAGGGAAGGAAAGGCCACATGTTGATAATGCTTTGACACGGAACAACCCTTATTGATACCATAGCAAAGGCACAATTCCTACAGGAGGGTCATTTGTTTTGATTGTTAAAAAATAAAAATATAATGTATGTTCCATTCTTCCCCTTTAAAAAACATAAATAGGTTTAATTTAGTTATAGTATACATTTCTTTTCTATATTTATCAAGTCAACTGAGTTTTATAAATTCTACTAACAAAAGCACAGTGAGGAGAAGCAGGGAGAGAATTGTGATGGAAGAAACAAGCCTTATTTCTTCAGATTCTAATGGTGTGAAAAAATACAGGAAGAAGAATCTGATTTAGAAACACATTCCACCAATTACTTTTCTTGTTGTCTGCAATCATATATTCATTGCCTGTTAGATTTGTTTGCAAAAATTTGCTTTGTGCCTTGTTCTAAAATATGGTAATGTGAAAATATGCACACACTATAACAGTAAAATGAAATTAAAAGAAGTAAGCAAAAAAATAGTTTAGAAAAAGAAGATAAGGCCTGGTATGCTTGATATATAGGTTTTATAATAAGAGGTGATTTCTACTTAATAAACATGGGTTACAGAATGAATAAAGAACTATCTAACATCCAAATGACAAGAAAAAATAAGTTACAAGATTTAAATCTTTAATTATTCTAGAAAAAAGTGATTAGTTCTAACATCTAGATCAAAGATAATACTTACTTTATTATAAGATGTTAAACTGAGTTTTTATGCTGTGACCATTACTGTCGTGTACAATTTTTCTGAATAAACAAATGAACAAATACTGACTGGTTAGGATTAAAGTTACTTCATTGATTTCTAATTGTATAGAAGTATACCTTGTGTTATTGCAGTTTGCTTTATTGCATGACACAAGTATCCTTTTTTTTTTTTTTTTTAACAAATTGAAGGTTTATGGTAACCCTGCATCCAGCAAGTCTATAGGCACCATTTTTACAAAAGGAGGTACTCACTTCATGTCTCTGTGTCACCTTTTGGTAATTCTCACAGTATTTCAAATTTTTTCATCGCTATTATATCTGTTAGAGTGATCCTTGGTATTACAATTGTAACTGTTCTGGAGGACCACAAACCACACCCATATAAGACTGTAAACTTAATTGATAACTGTTATGTGTTCTGACAGCTCCACAGACCAGTCATTCTGTTGTCTCTTTCCCTTTCCTCTAGCCTCCCCATTCCCTAAGAAACAACAATATTGAAATTGTGCCAATTAATAACCCTATAATGACATTTAAGTGTTCCAGTGAAAGGAAGAGTTGCATATATTTCACTTTAAACCAAAAGCTATAAATAATTAAGTTTTGTGAGAAAGGCATGTAAAAAGCCAAGGCAGACCAAAAACTAGGCCTCTTGTACCAATTAGTAATTTGTAAATGCAAAGAAAAAGTTTTTGAAGGAAATTTAAAGTGCTACTTTAGTGAACATACAAATGATAAGGAAGTGAAACAGTTTTATTTCTAATATGAAGAAACTTTTAATGGTCTGAATAGAAGATCAAACCAGACACAACACTCACTTAAGCCAAATCGCAATCTAGAGCAAAGCCCTAATGCTCTTCAATTCTATAAGGGGCTTAAGAGTTGATGAAGCTGCAGAAGAAAAGTTTGAAGCTAGCTGAGGTTGGTTCATGAGATTCAAGGAATGAAGGAATGAAACCATCTCCATAACATAAAAGAAAATAAAAGTGTAAGGTGAAGCATCACATGCTAATGGAGAAGCTGCAGCAAGTTATCCAGAAGATCTAGCTAAGATAATTGATAAAGGTGGCTACACTAAACAATAGATTTTCAATACATATATAACACTCGTATATTGAAAGAAGATGCCATCTAGAACTTTCATAGCGGGAGAGGAGAAGTCAATTACTTGCTTCCAAGTTTCAAGGGACAGATTAACTCTCTTGTTACGAGAGGTAATCCATCTAGCCACTTTAAGCTGAAGTCAGTGTTTATTTACCATTTGAAAATCCTAACACCCTTAAGAATTATGCAAAGTCTACCTTGCCTGTGGTCTGTAAATGGAAGAACAAAGCATGGATAGCAACATACCTGTTTTTAGCAGGGTTTGGTTAATAGTTTAAGCCCACTTTTGAAACTACTTCTCACTAGAAATATTACCCTTTCGATTATCACTGCTCATTGACAATGCATCTAGTCACCCGTGAGCTCTGACCGAGATGTACAAGGAAATAAATGTTGTTTTCATGCCTATTAACACAACATCCATTATACAGCCATTAATCAAGGAGAAATTTCAAGTCTTATTTAAGAAATATATTTTGTAAGGCTACAGCTGCTATAGAGAGTGATTCCTCTGATGGCTGTGAGCAAAGTAAATTGAAAACATTCTGGAAAAGATTTATAATTCTAGATGCTATTAAGAACATAAATGATTCTTGGGGGAGGTAAAACTATCAACATTCACAGCAATTTGGAAGAAGTTGATTCCATCTCTCATGGATGATTTTGAGGAATTCAAGACCAGTGGAGGAAGTAAGTGCAGATGTGGTAGAAACAGTAAGAGAACTAGAATTAGAGGTGGAGCCTGAAGATGTGACTGAATTCCTACAATATCAGCATAAAACTTGACAGGGGGAGCTTCTTATGAATGAGTAGATAATGTGGTTTCTTGAGATGGTCTCTACTGGTGATCATGATGTGAACACTGTTGAAATGACAACAAAGTATTTAAATATTATATAAACTTAGTTAATAAAGTAGTGGCAAAGTTTGAAATAATTGACTCCAATTTTGAAATAACTTCTACTATGCATAAAATGTTGTAAAACAGCATCACATATGACAGAGAAATATTTCATGAAAGGAAGTCAGTTGATGTGGAAAACTTTATTTTGTCTTATTTGTAGAAATTGCCACAGTCACTCAATCTTCTGCAACCACCACTCTCATCAGTCAGCAGTCATCAACGTGGAGACAAAGTCTGCCAACAGCAAAAAGATTATGACTCTCTAAAGGCTCAGATGATCTTTAGCATTTTTAGCAGTGTTTTTAATTAATGTATGTAACTTGTCTTTTTTAGGCATAATGCTATTGATCACTTAATAGACTACAGTATAATGTAAATGCAACTTTTATATACACTGGAAAACCAAAACATTTGGGTGACTTGCTTTAGTGCTCTATTAAATTTATTGTGGTGGTATGAAACCTGTAATGTCTCTGAGATATGCCTCCATATTAATTTTAAAATAGACACGAAGTAATCCTCAACATTTAGAACATTTATTTTGGACTGATGCTTGGTTATTAAGCTAAAATAATCAAGTAATTCACTTTATTAAATTATAAAAATTATTAAATCTACTATTTGTTTAAGTTTCCATTACAAATTTGTGTGCTTCATGTTTGAAGTTGTATGATAATCTATTTATATGATATAGCAGAGAGGAAAATAAAGGCATAATGTTTATTTTTAATTGAATTTGTTCTTAGTCATTTGTATCAATAAAGTAAGAAGATTTCCAACAACTTAATGTGTTTCTATTAGTCATAAAAAGTATCACTATACTAATGTATAGTCATCAGTCCTCAATTATTTTCTGGACATAGGCTCAGCTCTTCATGTGAAGGTCATTATTATATTCCTATATGATGGTTGAAATGATCAGTGACTTCTGCGTAATAGATGTCATGTTTTTATGCACCTTCATTCATCTGCCTAATTTTATATCTCCTCCTCTAATATATTTTCATTTGCTTGTTTTTCTTATTTTTCAGTGTACTTTAAATTATATGGCCTTATAAAGAGTCCCTTATAAAACCATCAGATCTCATTAGAACTCACTCACTATCACAAGAACAACATGAGGAAAACTGCCCCTATGATCCAATTACCTTTACCTGTCCTTTCCTTGACACTTAGGGATTACGAGGATTTTAATTCAAGATGAGGTTTGGGTGGGGACACAAAACCTACCATATCAGTAGACATTATGTTAGTTTCTTTGAATACTATGAATAAGCTGTAAATAGATAATAAAAGTTTCTCAATGTGCTTTCCAACAGTCAGTAAACAAGAGAATTTTGTAAATAGTATACAATTTTATATCACTGCATTCTTGAGGAATCTGATACTGAATAAACCTTTACCTTTCTGACTTACTATACCTTATTTTTAAACAAATTTAGTTATTTTAACTGCACAGATAAAGCATATTCATGATCTGTCAATAATTCCTATAGACTGAGGATCAACTTTGCTGCATACCAAGCTTCAAACATATTCATAGCACTGGATTTTAAAAAGTAATCATAAGTATAGTACTGGGCAAGAAATTTCAGTAAATCATAGTAGACTAATTACTGTTGGGAAAACAACTTATTTCAAAGAATCTCTTTTCTCTATGTGGTATAGCTTAATAGTAATTTCAGGAGTATAATTTCAGCCACTGGAATCAGATATATCTAGGTTTTAATCTCCATTTTACCAACAAACGACTTTGTGATCCAGAATTTATTTCTTAAACTTTTTGCTGAACATTCTCTATGGCAACTCTATTCTGTTACATTGTTCTATGCATCTTATTTTCTACCAGTAACATGCTGTTTTGATTACTATAGCCTTGTAGTTTAATTTAAAGTTGGGTAATATAGGCCAATGCAGTGGCTCATGCCTGTAATCCTAGCATTTTGGGAGGCTGAGGCAGGCAGTTCACTTGATGTCAGGAGTTCGAGACCAGCCTGGCCAACATGGTGAAACATTGTTTCTACTAAAAATGCAGAAATTAGCCAGGTGTTGTGGTGCGTGCCTGTAATCCCAGCTACTCGGGAGGCTGAGGCAGATGAATCATTTGAACCCAGGAGGTGGAGGTTTTAGTGAGCTGAGATCATGCCATTGCACTCCACCCTGGGGGACAAGAGCAAAACTCCATCTCAAAAAAAAAAAAAAATGGGTAATATGATACCTCCAGATTTATTATTTTCGTATAGGATTGCTTTAGCTATTTGGGCCCCTATTTGGCTCCATAAATTTTAGGATTGTCTTTTCTAATTCTGTAAAAAATATATTGGTATTCTGTCAGTAATTGTGCTGAATCTGTAGATTGCTTTGGGAGGTATGGTCATTTTCATGATATTGACCCTTTACATCCGTGAGCATGGATGTATTTTCATTTGGTTGTGGTCATCTAGATTCCTTTCAGCAGTGTTTTATAGTTCTCCTTGTAGAGATCTTCCAGGTCTTTGGTTAAGTATGTTCCTATGCATTTTATTTTATTTTGTATTTCTATTGTAAAAGGGATTTATTCTTGTAATTACTATCTTTGGAAGTTTTAATATGTGCTTGATGGTGTGCCAAGGACTTTATACTATCATGTTAATACTTCAAACAAATCTCTGAAATAGATGATACTCTCTTGATCTGCAAGGAATACAAACAAATAAGCAAGACAAAAGCAAATAATTCCATTGAAAAGTGAGCAAAAGAATAGGAATTTATCAAAAGAAGATATACAAATGGTTAATAAACATGTGAAAAACATGCAACATCATTAATCATCATGGAAATGCAAATTAAAAGCACATCAAGATAACACTTTAGGGTGAGACGATGGGGTTTTCTAAATATACAATCATGTCATCTGCAAAAAGAAACAATTTGACTTCCTCTTTTCCTAATTAAATACCTTTTATTTCTTTCTCTTGCCTGATTGCCCTGGCCAGAACTTCCAATACTATCTTGAATAGGTGTGGTAAGAGAGGGCATCCTTGCCTTATGCCGGTTGTCAAAGGGAATGCTTCCAGTTTTTGCCCATTCAGTATGATATTGGCTGTGGGTTTATCATAAATAGCTCTTATTATTTTGAGATACGTTTCATCAATACTTAGTTTATTGAGAGTTTTTAGTATGAAGGGCTGTTGAATGTTTTGAAGGTCTTTTCTGCATCTATTGAGATAATTATGTGATTTTTGTCATGGGTCCTGTTTATGTGATGAATTATGTTTATTGTTTTGAGTATGTTGAACCAGCCTTGCATCCCAGGGATGAAGCCGACTTGATCATGGTGGATAAGCTTTTTGATGTGCTGCTGGATTTGGTGTGCCAGTATTTTGTCTAAGATTTTTGCATTGATGTTCATCAGGGATATTGGCCTAAAATTTCCTTTTTTTGTTGTGTCTCTGCCAGGTTTTGGTATCAGGATGATACTGGCCTCGTAAAATTAGTTAGGGAGGATTCCCTCTTTTTCTATTGTTTTGAATAGTTTCAGGAGGAATGGCACCAGCTCCTCTTTGTACCTCTGGTAGAATTTGGCTGTGAATCCATCTGGTCCAGGACTTTTTTGGTTGGTAGGCTATTAATTATTGCCTCAATTTCAGAACTTGTTATTGGTCTATTTGGGGATTCAATTTCTTTCTGGTTTAGTCTTGGGAAGGTGTATGTGTCCAGGAATTTATCCATTTCTTCTAGATTTTCTAGTTTATTTGTGTAGAGGTGTTTATAGTATTTTCTGATGGTAGTTTGTATTTTTGTGGGATCGGTGGTGATATCTCCTTTATCATTTTTTATTGCATCTATTTGATTCTTCTCTCTTTTCTTCTTTATTAGTCTGGCTAGGGGTCTATCTATTTTGTTGATCTTTTCAAAAAACCAGCTCCTGGATTCATTGATTTTTGTGAAGGGTATTTCATATCTCTACCTTCTTCAGTTCTGCTCTGATCTTAGTTATTTCTTGTCTTCTGCTAGCTTTTGAATTTGTTTGCTCTTGCTTCTCTAGTTGTTTTAATTGTGATGCTAGAATGTCGATTTTAGATCTTTGCTGCTTTCTCTTGTAGGCATTTAGTGCTATAAATTTCCCTCTACATATTGCTTTAAATGTGTCCCAGAGATTCTGGTATGTTGTGTCTTTGTTCTCATTGGTTTCAAAGAATATCTTTATTTCTGCCTTCATTTCATTATTTACCCAATAGTCAGTCAGGAGCAGGTTGTTCAGTTTCCATGTAGTTGTGCGGTTTTGATTGAGTTTCTTAATTCTGAGTTCTAACGTCACTGCACTGTGGTCTGAGAGACTGTTCATTATGATTTCCATTCTTTTGCATTTTTTGAGGAGTGTTTTACTTCCATTTATGTGGTCAATTTTAGAATAAGTACTATGTGGCGCTGAGAAGAATGTATATTCTATTGATTCAGGGTGGAGAGTTCTGTAGATGTCTATTAGGTCTGCTTGGTCCAAAGCTGAGTTAAAGTTCTGAATAACATTGTTAATTTTCTGTTTCATTGATCTGTCTAATATTGACAGTGGGGTATTTAACTCTTAGTATTATTTTGTGGGAGTCTAAGTCTCTTTGTAGGTCTCTAAGAACTTGCTTTATGAATCTGGGTGCTGCTGTATTGGGCGCATATATATTTAGGATAGTTAGTTCTTCTTGTTGCATTGATTCCTTTACCATTATAGAATGCCCTTCTTTGTGTCTTTTGATCTTTGTTGGTTTAAAGTCTGTTTTATCAGAGACTAGGATTGCAAGCCCTGCTTTTTTTTGCTTTCTATTTGCTTGGTAAATATTCCTCTATCCCTTTATGTTGAGCCTATGTGTGTCTTTGCATGTGAGATGGGTCTCCTGAATGCAGCACACCGATGGGTCTTGACTCTTTATCTAATCTGCCAGTCTTTGTTTTTTAAATGGGGTATTTAGCCCATTTACATTTAAGGTTAATAATCTCCTTAAGCTGATAAGCAACTTCAGCAAAGTCTCAGGATACAATATCAATGTCCAAAAATTACGAGCATTCCTATACACCAGTAACAGACAAACTGAGAGCCAAATCATGAGTGAGCTCCCTTTCACAATTGCTACAAAAAAAATAAAATACCTTGGAATACAACTTACAAGGGATGTGAAGGGCCTCTTCGAGGAGAGCTACAAACCACTGCTCAAAGAAATAAGAGAGGACAAAAACAAATGGAAAAACATGTCATGCTCATGGATAGGAAGAATCCATATCATGAAAATGGCCATACTGTTCAAAGTAATTTATAGATTCAATGCTATCCCCTCAAACTACTATTGATTTTCATCACAGAATTGGAAAAAAAAAAAAAAAAACTACTTTAAAGTTCATATGGAACCAAAAAAGAGCCCACATAGCCAAGACAATCCTAAGCAAAAAGAACAAAGCTGGAGGCTTCACACTACTTGACTTCAAACTATACTACAAGCCTACAGTAACCAAAACAGCATGGTACTGGTACCAAAACAGAGATATAGACCAATGGAACAGAACAGAGGCCTCAGAAATAACACCACACATCTACAATCACCTGATCTTTGACAAACCTGACAAAAACAAGCAATGGGGAAAGGTCTCCCTATTTAATAAATGCTGTTGAGAAAACTGGCTAGCCATATGAAGAAAGCTGAAACTGGATCCCTTCCTTACACCTTATACAAAAATTAACTTAAGATGGATTAAAACTTATACATAAGATCTAAAACCATAAAAACCCTAGAAGAAAACCTAGGCAATACCATTCAGGACATAGGCATGGGCAAAGACTTCATGACTAAAACACCAAAAGCAATGGCAACAAAAGCCAAAATTGACAAATGGGATCTCATTAAACTAAAGATCTTCTGCACAGCAAAAGAAACTATCATCAGAGTGAACAGGCAACCTACAGAATGGGAGAAAATTTTTGCAATCTACCCATCTGACAAAGGGCAATTATCCAGAATCTATAAAGGACTTAAATTTACAACAACAAAGAAACAAAACCCCATCAAGAAGTGAGCAAAGGATATGAACAGACACTTCTCAAAAGAAGACATTTATGTAGCCAACAAACATATGAAAAAAAGCTCATCATCACTGGTCATTAAAGAAATGTAAATCAAAATCACAATGAGATACCATCTCATGTCAGTTAGAATGGTGATCATTAAAAAGTCAGAAAACAATAGATGCTGGAGAGGATGTGGAGAAATGGGAACACTTTTACACTGTTGGTGGCAGTGTAAATTAGGTCAATCATTGTGGAAGACAGTATGGTGACTCCTCAAGGATCTGGAATTAGAAATAGCATTTGACTCAGCAATCTCATTACTGGGTATATACCCAAAGGATTATAAATTATTCTACCATAAAGACACATGCACATGTATGTTTATTGCGGCACTGTTCACAATAGCAAAGACTTGGAGCCAACTCAAATGCCCATCAATGGTAGACTGGATAAAGAAAATATGGCACATATACACCATGGAATACTAGGCAGCCATAAAAGAAAAGGATGAGTGCATGTCCTTTGCAGGGACATGGATGAAGCTGGAAACCATAATTCTCAGCAAACTAACACAAGAACAGAAAACCAAACACCACATGTTCTCACTCATAAATGGGAGTTGAACAATGAGAACACATGGATGTGGGGGTGGGGGCATCACACACTGGGGCCTGTCAGGGGATGGGAGGCTGGGGAAGGGATAGCATTAGGAGAAATACCCAGGTGATGAGTGTAGCAAACCACCGTGGCACGTGTATACCTATGTAACAAACCTGCACCTTCTGCATGTGCTCTCCAGAACTTATAGTATAATTAAAAAAAAAGATACCACTTTGCCCAGTCAGAATGTTCATTACTGAAAAGTCAAAAAACAATACATATTGGTGTCAATGTGGTGAAAAGAGAATGCTTATACACTGCTGGTGATAATGTAAATGAATACAATCTCTATGGAAAACAGCATGGAGATTTCCCAAACAACTAAAAGTAGATCTACCATTTGATCCAGCAATCCCACTAATAAGTATCTACCCACAGGAAAAGAAATCAAAAAGACATCTGCATGTGTATATTGCAGCACAGCTGACAATTGCAAAGATATGGAATCAACCCAACTGCTCATCAACAAATGAGTGGATAAAGAGAATGTGGTGTGTAAATATAAATCTACACACATATATATAATGAAATATTACTGAGTCATAAGAAAGAATGAGCTAATGCCTTTTGCAGGAACTTGGATGATACTGTAGTTTTTTGATCTAAGTGTAGTAACTCAGGAATTGAAACCAGCTACTGCATAGATACTGCATGTTCTCCCTTACAGGTGGGAGCTAAGCTATGGGTATGCAAAGGCATGCAGAGTGGTACAATGGACATTGGAGACTAGAAGGTTGGGGGTGGGCAGGGAGTGAAGGATGAAAAACTACCTATTGGATACAACGGTCACTACTCAGGTGATGGGTGCACTAAAATCCTATACTTCACCACTATACAATTCATCCTTGTAACTGAAAAACCACCTGTAACTTTAAAGCTATTAATTTTTTAAAAAAGTAATAACATGTATTGACAATTTATAATTATGTTTCGTTCTCAAAACAATTAATTGAAAAAGAAAATTACTTTTATATAAAGACCTCTATAGCTGGAATGACCATATAATTTATTTTCCAAGTCAGTACAATTCGAGGGGGAAGGGAACACTATTAATAATTTTGCCATAACAACAAACTTGGGTCGAGCTGGCCTAGACTTGTGGTGCCTCTAATTGGAGTTTTTCTGCAGCAGAATAGAAATTTTAATAAGTTTTGTTTGATTCTGACATACCAGACTTTCTTCCAACAAAACATACATTAAACATAAACAATAGTGAAGAAAAATTTATATGGATATTCATTGTGAAGTAAACCAAGTGAGAAGGAGAGACAAAGTTTATTCTAGAGCCCTGAGAATGAATATAGTCACATCTTTTTTTAAGGACTCTAGATAGGGTGGCCTATTTTTCCTGTCATTAAAATAAAAAGCTTAGAATTCCGTGACTCATTGACCTCTTTCAATCATCAGTCCCAAAATGTTCACCAGTAAATGAAGGTCTTTTCTTGTATTTTGCATAGATTACTTTGAAATCTCTGGGATTCTAGAATTTCTGTAAAATGTTCAAATTTCTTGGAATTAATAAAAATGCCTTTGTTTTCTTCACCACCAAGGAATAAAGTAACCTCCTTCCAGCTGTCCTATCCAAGAAAATTGCTTCCTACACCCACACACCATATACAGCACAATTTGTTATTTTATTAAATTATGTTGTATTTTCTCCATGATACTAACCACAGGAAGAATTGATGCTATTAGTTTATTTAGGTCTTTGTTTATTGACTGTTTATCTGAAAAGTAAACTATATGAGGACTGTAGTTTTATCTGTCACTGCTACGTCCCTAATGAGTAGAATAATAACTGGAACGATAGATGCATCATTAGTATCTATAGAAAGAATAAGATATTTGCCCCTAAAATGAAACAGTTTTGTGAAATTTGCCACATCAGGTGGTTTTGGAAAATACTATTATGTTGGTGCAAAAGTAATTGCGGTTTTTGCCATTGAAAGTAATGGAAAAAAACACAATTATATTATTGCACCAACCTAATATAAAATAATGATGCTAATTAGAACATAGGTGAGAAGCAGGTACCAAAGTTACTTTCAGCAGTCAAAAGTATTACAGCCAGAAAATACTGGAGCTCTAAAACTTGCCAAAAATGTACTTTTTTAAAAGAAAAAACAAAATACATCAGACACATCAATAAATGACACAATATTAATAACCATATGTAATACAGTGCACTATTGCTGTGTGTGGAAAATTGAAAATAGCACAACTGACCCTAATTTCTGACTGAGAACAAATGAAATCAAATACAAATCTGAGTGTAAATAAATTCCAAATAACAATGTTAGGATTAAGGTTTATTGATAGTTCTACCCATATATGCTGTATATATATGTGTGTGTGTGTGTGTGTGTGTGTCGACGGATGTCTGTGTGTGTGTGTGTTTTGAGACACATTCTGTCACCTAGAATGTGTCTCAAACGACACCTAGGTGTCATTCTGTCACCTAGGCTGGAGTGCAGGGGCACGATGGTGACTCTGGTGATCCCTCCACCTCAGCCTCCAGCTTATCTGGGACTACAGCCATGCTAATTTTTTTGTAGAGACAGGGGTTTCCCCATGTTGTCCAGGCTGGTCTCGAACTCCTGGGCTCAAGTGATCCACCTGCCTTGGGCCTCCCAAAGTGCTGGAATTACACATGCCAGCCACTGCACCTGGTCTATAATGAGAATTTAATATATTTTACTTTTATTATTATTATTATTATTTTTTGAGAGAGTCTCACTCTGTCGCCCAGGCTGGAGTGCAGTGGCACCATCTCGGCTCACTGCAAGCTCAGCCTCCCGGGTTCACAGCATTCTCCTGCCTCAGCCTCCTGAGTAGCTGGGACTACAGGCATCCGCCACCACGCCTGGCTAATTTTTTGTATTTTTTAATAGAGACGGTGTTTCACCGTGTTAGCCAGGATGGTCTAGATCTCCTGACCTCGTGATCCACCCGCCTCAGCCTCCCAAAGTGCTGGGATTATAGGCATGAGCCACCAGGCCCGGCCATTTTACTTATATTATAATGAGCTTCACCACCACTAATTTTAGACATGCTCCATGTTCTTTCTCTGATTATACTTGTCATAGGCTAGATATGAAAGGCAATGGAATTCTGAAAATTCAGAGTACCTGAACATGGAAATGTCTAATGCTTATTAATGTGAAAGCTGAATGTTATCAAATATTTTCAACATATGTTAATATTGCAAGTTTATGCCCCAGCATTAGAATTATGAATTTTATATTTAATGATGTGTCACCTACATTCTCTCCATACCTTATTATTTGGCAGTGTTATGTTTCTAATATAATATAATCTCATTTTGTTTTAACCTAAAGAACTAAAGCAATGAGATAATTCCTTACAAAAACAATTTCCAGTAAAATCATTATCTGCATCTTTCAAATCAAATATTTGCCTAATATTCAGTATGTTAATGGCTGGGTTAAGGTTGGTATTTATAACTTTGTCTTTCTTCCAAGGACAGTTTTATTTTATTCTTTGATCGCAAGAGGAAATTAAATAAATTTTAAAATAAAGTAATAATGCATATAAAATTTATACTTTACTAACATTATGCATTTCTTCTGATATAATCATCCTCTGAAATATCAGCTCTAAAACTGATAGATTGCACAAAATTAAAAATCATAAGTTAAATTTTAAAATATTAGTGAAGATCTATTATACCCATGAAAAAACAATTCTCCTAGTTTACAAAACATGATCACATTATTCATTACCTTTTTCTTATCATTTTTCTCCTCTTCAAAGTGCAGATAGCAATATCTCCTGTTCCTACATTTCGGTTTGGAAGTGCATAGGAAGTAATTCCATCTTTAGATACCTTACTGAGGAAACTAGAATACCAATGCTCTCTTTTCTTTTGCACTCAGTGTCATAAAAGTATGAGAACTGAAGTGTACACATAGTTATTATATTTGAAATCATGAGGAGAAGTGCATAGAGCTTCAGGGCAGACATAGTATGAAACAGAATACTTTGTCCTTGGAAGAGGCTTACATAAGGTTAGTTTGTCTTCTAACCAGCAGCGTGGGTCTAAATTCCAAGTCAATCCTGTTAGGGAAGTTTCCAGAAACTATGTTCTTTTGTGAGAGCCCATGATCCTGCAATTTTGCCGGTGCCGTCCTACTTACTACTATCCTCTGTCCTTTTGAACCACTCCCTTCACCAATAATTTTCCCCTTCAATCTGAGCATGCTGAATGTCTGGCACTATTATGTAAATTATTATTAATCTTTGCTAAGAGAGCATACTGACACATAATTTCCTTACTATGTTCTCTAATACATTCATTATGAAACAATGTGTATCAGAAACATTAATGTAGTATCCAAGTTACCCCATTACCATTTTCATCAAATTTCATAAATCTTTGTTATTTTCAGCTCTTACAAACAAAAAACTGAAGGGGGCCAGCACCTCCACACCTGTGAGTATTTCTCGTCAGGTGGGACAAGAGACTGAGAAAATAAATAAGACACAGAGACAAAGTATAGAGAAAGAACAGTGGGCCCAGGGGACCGGCACTCAGCATAGGGAGGACCAGCACTGGCACCAGTCTCTGAGTTCCCTCAGAATTTATTGATTACTATTTTCACTATCTCAGCAAGGGGAATGGGGCAGGAGGACAGGGTGATAGTTGGGAGAAGGTTAGCAGGAAAACATGTGAGCAAAGGAATCTGTGTCACAAATAAGTTCAAGGGAAGGTACTATGCCTGGATGTGCACGTAGGCCAGATTTATGCTTCTCTCCACCCAAACATCTCAGTGTAGCAAAGAGTAACAGAGCAGCATTGCCGCCAGCATATTTCGCCTCCAGCCACAGGGCAGTTTTCTCCTATCTCAGAATAGAAGGAATGTACCATCTGGTTTTACACCGAGACATTCCCTTCCCAGGGACATGCAGGAGATGGAGGCCTTCCTCTTATCTCAACTGCAAAGAGGCCTTCCTCTTTTACTAATCCTCCTCAGCACAGACCCCTTACGGGTATGGGGCTGGGGGATGGTCCAGTCGTTCCCTTCCCATGAGGCCATATCTCAGGCTGTCTCAGTCGGGGGAAACCTTGGACAATACTCAGGCTTTCTTGGGCAGAGGTCCCTGCAGCTTTGCGCAGTGCATTGTGCCCCTGGTTAATTGAGAATGGAGAATGGTGATGACTTTTACCAAGCATACTGCCTGTAAACATATTGTTAACAAGGCACATCCTGCACAGCCCTAGATCCCTTAAACCTTGATTCCATACAACACATGTTTCTGTGAGCACAGGGTTGGGGCTAAAGTTACAGATTAACAGCATCTCAAGGCAAAACAATTTTCTTAGTACAGATCAAAATGGAATTTCTTATGTCTTCCTTTTCTACATAGACACAGTAACAGTCTGATCTCTCTGTCTTTTCCCTACAAAAAACAAACACTGGCTGGTTTATAATTACATGACAATCTGTGACAGAATTAAAGGCAGAGTCTAAGTCTACAAGCATGCCTTCCTTTCTGCCACTATGACTTGCTGTTTAGAATTAAACCCAGCTGAAAGCATGGCCATGCATCCTCTTGAGGGAGACAGAAAGGACTGGTAAGTGATTGAACAGTTAGCTTATGCTTTAAATTTGAGTTTCTTTCATATTGCAGTGGTGGTTCAGAAAAGAAAGAATTGGTCACTACTAGAGTCCTTGGTTCAATGTAAGCATCATCCCCACAGGGTTGAAAGAGCTTTGAAATATAACGGATCCCTTCCCAATCCCCAAGCCTACTCATCTCCAGCCCTGAACAAAGAACAGAGAGTGCAAATAATACAAAAAGAGATGATGGAAACGGTGAGTGTTCCAGAATACCATGGGGTCCTGATCTGTTTACATCTGAAATAAAATTCCCATAGCTAGAGGCACGTCTTTGAATTGAGGTGAAATAATTATCTCTAGAAAATTACTATTAAAATATACAAATGGCTCAGCCCTCATTAACACACTGTCACAGTTTACTTTATCAAATTAAGAAGTTTATGCTCTCAGGGCTCTGCAGATAAATGGGAAAAAAATGTTGCTTTTACTTCAGGAAATTGAAAAGATCTCAAACATAGCCCTGGGTAGGAAGGGAAGGTCTACAAAGGACTCCACAGTGGAGTCTGCCCTCCCGAGGGTTGTGAGGGTAGCATAGCCAGTCATAGTGCCTGAGGTAGGCAGGCTGCAGTGAGTCTAAACTTGTGTTTTTTTCTCTACAGCTGCACCAGGGTTTTTTTTTTTTTCTGATATGGTCATGCTTATGATGTGTCAGAACACTTAAAATATTTCCTTCAGTATTTTAAAGGGAGTTGGAGAAGGAGAGTAGATTTATAAATGTTGCTATGCTGCAAAATTGTTACATTAATTTTGAAATTTTCTGACGGCAAAGATGGCTGAACACTGTAATAATATTTTAGAAATCATTTTAAAACATGCTTTTTTCCCAAAAGTTTTATTCGATTGAAGAAATCAGGAATTACAACCTTATTTAGAAGTCTTCCTGATGACAAAGGAAAAAAATGTTGCCCTTCAAGGCACTATTTTAAAAATAGTAATTTCATAAGATTTTAGAAATTTGAATATATACATGTATAGAATGTAAATTTAATATTTATATGTCTTTAATGAAAAATAAACTAATAAATATACTTGAGAGACTTATTTGTAACCACAAATATCTGAGATCAAAGTTTAAGAATAGCCCAGATATTTCTTCCATTCAATAGAACTGTAACCATTTTAAAAATATATCTCAATTGAAATTTTCATTCACCATGCAATGCAGTAATATACCCAGATGTTTGGAGGTATTTAACCAAAATGTGCTTTCATGAGGAATGAACTTACATATTTCATTTTTCCTACCTAAACTGGAGAATCTCTGGTAATTAAAGCAATTACTGAGCTTATGCCTTTTCAGTCATTCTTCACAGGTGAGGGTAGAAGAAACTCTATAGTATATCACATTTACTTAATAGCTTTGTGTGTCAATTATACAACACTGCTGAAAATACAATTATTACATTTGGGATTGTTTATTAATTTCCTAATTTGTCTTCTCTCTTACTTGTAGATATAGTAGTAATGATCATTCAAATCACATTTTCCTGTTTTTATTTCCTTTTGATCTTGAATAATTTTCAACATTAAACAAAAACCAATTTTATGTATCAAAGTTATCATCAACTCTTTAATTATGTGATGTTCCAGCTAAATTAATTAATGCTGAGAAAGGAATAATAACTATTGCACAGGGCAAGACAGGCTTTATTTTGAGGAATTGGATACACTTCCTATTTCTCAAATACCTAAATTTTAAAGTTTGTCTTAATTCTATATTTTACCTGTTATGTTAGTAATTGTGTAAAAATAAGGAAAAATTCTAGATTCAAGTATAAAATACAAAATTTGGGGCTTCTGGGTCATAGTCCCATCATCAAATGTTTCAACTGAAATAGAAAAGATTGAAGGAAGAATCCAGGTCTACATGAAGAAATTATAATAATTAAGTAGCCACTGGTATCTGATCCCAAACTCTCCAATTACCCATTTTGACAAGATACTTATTAATGCTTTAAGAGTTGAATACCAATGCTTTCAAATAACACAAATATTTTTGTCATCAAATTTATACTGAACTAAAGCCATTATTTTGAAGAATTTGAAAGAGACTATAAAGTATTCAAAAAACTCACACCAATAGTAGTAACTTAGTGAAAAACCAAATTATTAACAATTCCAAGATGCCTTTCCTCTTTTATTTAGATCAGTTAAATAGATACTACAATGTCAACAAGAAAATAAAGGTATTTTTTATTCTTATAAAGCATACAATTGAGGAAAATGTCTGGCTATAGGCCAACATTATAACTGGGTATCTCCTATTGTATTATGTATATAAATTATCACCTTGTTGTGACAAAACTTACTAACACAATAAGAATTACAGTGCAGATTACATGAACAACTTTGTCAATTTTAACACGGAAAAACTAGCCTCCAGAGTAACAGGCAATTCATCATGTAACTGTTGAAAATAGCTATAATGTAGCTGACTACTCTGCAGTGCTATTTGTTACCAGTTATGGAAACATCTTACTTTTTCTCCTACGGCCAGATCAGGATTGCATATTCTGTTTAGGATATTTGAAAGTGTTTTTTAAAAGATGTTGTTTAAGTGAATATGCAAATTGCTTAATCAACATGCTGTCCCATATCAGGATTAACTGATATTCAGTTATCTGAACTAAAAATGGTAAATGAGACTAACTCAGTTTTTCTTGCTTATGACAGTTTAACAAATCTGTAAAATACAAGAATCTCATCGCATGACTGCAGAGAAGTCACCCTAGTATTCTGAAAATTAATGCAGTTCATAAGATGTCAGTATTTTAAACTCCTTTCACTGGTGGGATCAGACTCATGTGTCTTACAGCTAAATTTAATTAAGCAGTTTGATATGTTGTGATTAACTGATGTGCACTCTTAAGACTAGATGAAGTATATTGCTGAAATTATTTAATAAGCAGAGAAGATTAAGAAAAAGGTTAGAAATTAAATAACATTACATTAAAAAATTTTTTTCAACATCATGGGTTTGTTCTTTAAATAGGGACAGCTAGGGACAGGTTGAAAGGTCATTTGATTAAGACATCTCATGAATGCTCTAAGATATTTTTAATATACGTATTGAACAACTTGACATACCACAAGCCCCATCTGAAATTATGCCTTGCTGTTTCTCATGAATGACAATGAAATAATATCTTGACACATCAAGTAATCGCTGCCATATTTAAAGCATGAATGGACACTGTAAAATCTACAAAAGAAGTGAAAGACGGCTGATGCAGTGGCTCACGCCTGTAATCCCAGCACTTTGGGAGGCTGAGGTGGGTGGATCACCTGAGGTGAGGAGTTCAAGATCAGCCTGGCCAACAGGGCGAAACTCCTTCTCTACTAAAAATACAAAGATTTGCCAGGTATGGTAGCAGGCGCCTGTAAACCCAGCTACTCGGGAGGCTGAGGCAGGAGAATCACTTGAATCTGGGAGGCAGGGGTTGCAGTGAGCCGAGATGATGCCATTGCACTCTAGCCTGAGCAACAGAACAAGACACCGTCTCCCAAAAAAAAAAAAAAAAAAAAAGTGAAAGACAACACGTAAGGATATACTTCAGTGAAACATAAGTACATAATAACAAAGGTTCAGATGTGAGAGTCTTTGAAAATTACAAGCTATGAGTAGAAAAATCACAGACGTGGCCCGACAATTCCTTCAGAACATCTATATTGACCTTTATTTTTTTTTTTTTTTTTTGTATTCTGTGTACCCACATTTGGAAAAGAGTTTTCAAAAGGGTTGACATTGCTCTTCACCTAATGTTACACATTATATTTTGGGACATATTTTAAAATATTGTTCTATTGCATATTTAAATCCATTTTGCTCTTCTAGGTAACAAAATTAAGTCTCTAATTATTAAAGGTTATCAACCAGATGTCATAAAATGTAATAAAAAGTTGATAACAACATGCTATCAAACAAAAATCTGAAAATGTTCTGTTCAATTTCCATAACAGAGTATCTTTCATGTGTGGATAGAAAACAAGACTCAGTGACAAGGTGAAAAGTAGGTCAAAAATGACTTCAAAATGTCAGTGAAACTAAAACAATTGAAGCCCTAATTGTTTTCTTGCCCATCGAAATTAATCTCATTTGCTTAAACTTAGGCCATAACTGTTTTGATCACAGATAGGGAAAGAGTCTAGCAAATTATACTGCTAAGTTTTCAAAATCTTTTAGCTGACAGTTTAACTGAAATGGTAGTAATGCTTAGATTTTAACTCCAAGTCAGAGATGCCATAGGTTTCAAATCCAAGACAGAGTTTGCAATGTGGAGAACTCCACTGCCAATTGAGCATTCTGGGTAATAGTGTTTTAAAGAACGGATGTAGTCAAAACACATTTAGATACCCTGATTACTTTAGCTTTCAGGTTAAGAAATTTTATTTGAAAATGTTCTTTTTAGGCATTGAAAAAATCTTTAAAGTGTAAATAAGCCGAGGGGAGTTATTTCAACTAATGACATGGCCTGAAAAGAACTGAAGCAGCAAAACTCCATGTCTGAAGTTTAGATTGATTGCCACTATGCTTTAGAGTTTCATAGCCTCTCTAGAATAAAGGAAATATCACATTTTAATGTGAAGTTACAATTTAATTTTGTTAGCTGATGTAAACTATTTTTCTGATTTTAATGAACCTAG
The DNA here is from genome assembly GCF_000001405.40 of Homo sapiens. Taxonomy (NCBI): domain Eukaryota; kingdom Metazoa; phylum Chordata; class Mammalia; order Primates; family Hominidae; genus Homo; species Homo sapiens. Next base: position 134,051,846 of record NC_000004.12, read on the forward strand.
AACAATGCTTAATGTTTATACATGTCTTCAGATGTTATATATAGTCATAAACTGAGCCAATAAAAATAGGTTACAGGATTAGATATAAATTAAATGGTACTTGCTTTTCTTCTCTTTTTATGTACATTATTTTAGATAAAAATAGAAAACGTTTCTTTTAAAAAAAGAAAAAACAATAATACAATCATTATTATTCTTTGATAGACTATACACAGGCTACTTGGCTGTGGCACCATGGATATAGGGTACCAGCTGATTACAAAAAGAGCCTGGGAATGTCCCCTAGAGACATTGGATCCAGAGATTTTGAGGCTTATGGGATACATCACCTCCCTAGGTTAATTTCAAAGTAGGTTGTTCATTGCCACAAATATTTATATTAAAATATGTACAAGTTGTAATGACATGAATATTCTCAATATATTCTAAATTTAAAGTTTAATTTATCATTAAACCATTTAATTTTTTTAGCCCAGTCAAATTTGTACAAGGTTTAAATGTCTACACAGTGAAGTTGTATTTTTATTTCCTCTCTCATATTTAGAAAACAGTGTTTTACTCTCAAAATTGATCTGGTTTCATCAAGTACTTCCAGTCATTATTAATTATTTTAATAATTTAATCTTTCACTTTTGAATTTTATTTATCAAAATATGGACTATTATGAATAAGAGGATATCATTATGTGTTCCGTGATGTGTGTCAACTTTTCCTATATAAGTAATCTCTTGTCGGTTCATTTCTCCCTGGAACATGAAAACAGAGCAAAGTCAAAATATAGTAAAATGTGACCACCAATCCTGTGTGAAATTGGTCATAACAGGAAAGTCCATATAATTGTCATCTCCAATTTAAAAAAAAAATGACAAGAAACACCTATATTTATTATGCTTGAATGGGAAAGGATACAGTCATCATGTGAGTAAATTTAATAAGATTTGCATTATATAATCCTGATGCAAGAGTTTTTGGTATTTTACAAGAAGAAATAAAAATGTGTGTGTGTGTTTAAGTTTTAGTTTTATATTTTTGTATTTTTGCTCACAAATTATTTTTGGTGTTACATAAAACCTAAGCAGATACATAGTAATTAGGTATTTTAAAATTATTTATTTTCTTTGGAAGCATGACTGTGATAATTTTCTTCTCTTTAAAAAATTCTGTTGTCTTGACTGTCTATAACCATGCTTTGAAGTAGCTAAATAACATGTATTATAGACCTGCAAATTAGCACTTAGTTGCCTTGAAATCCTAGTTGCAAATTAGAGCTTGACCACACTAAATAGGAACAATTCTGTTGCTCACTTAGTTCAACATCAACAAATTTCTTTCCTAAAGACACTAGGAAAAAAATAGAATGTAATAAGCCTTGATCTGTAACAGTTTCCAGAAATGAACTTGGTATATTTTAAAATTGGTTTTATATGCACAACTGCAAGCTATTGATTTGATTATTCATGTTGCTAAGCGCTGCTGAATGTGGATGGGCACCCTTGTTTACTGAGATAGAGCAAGGTCTCCTCAATAGGCAACATAACCTGTGGCCATAAATGCTTAAGTGGATGCAATGACTTCTTCACATGCATGCAAAGCAAGGCAGGTAAAATCAACAAACTAAAGGCCAAGCCCATTGTAATAACCCTGTAGAGAATAGAGCTAATTATCTAGAAAATTCAGCCTACCACCTAAATATTTAGGAAAATCTTGGATTAAAAACACCAAAAACAAACAATAAATCCAACCAGTTTCCAACATTTGTCCCCAGATCTACTTAAATTGCATCCCACATGCCACCACCCTTTTCCTAAGGATATGAGCATCGTTTCAAGTTGTAATTTGTGTATACATCAGAGCACAGGTCTTATGAGGACATTGGTAAAACTTCAAATAAAAGAGAATAGATATTTTTTAAAATAATATTCAGTATTAACCACTGGAATAAAGGACTCAAAATTCGGAATATTGTGCTTATTCTTGTTTTGTCGTGTATTAATACAAAAACCATGACGAAAAGTAATTCTGAGTCTAAGCATCTATATAAGAGGTCCTGATGCTTCTTCCTCACCTACCTTGCCTTTTTAGTGGAATGATGATATCCACACAAAGAACCTTAAACACAAAATCCCAATTGTAAATGAAATCATAAATTTTATGAAAAAAAATACACTAATTCCTTCTGGTCATCTGCAGTACATTTCTACAGTGACAAAGAAGTGAGTATAAATTAATGAGACTTAATACTAGACAAATAATAAACTTTAATGAGAATAAGAGAGCTCTTTCTCCATATAAATTAACAAGCTTAATTTAGTCATCTTCAAGTCTATGAATTTCTTTTTTTAACTATATTGCCTGTGTTTCTAATATATTTTGATTTTTTTTAAAGAGACTACTTTAGTTGTATATGTATATATATATATATATATATATATATATATATATATAGTTATGCTAGTAGTTTTGATTGCAATTCTGGAGTTTTAAATAAATTTTTTTTTATTTTAAGTATAAATTCAGATGAAAATTTCAGTATAATAGAGATCCCTTGTATCCTTTACATAATTTCCATCAATGATAACATCTTAATAACTATAGTATAATACCACAACAAGGATATTGACAGAAGAGTCCCATCACTGGAAGGATCCCCCATTACTGTTTTATAGCCACATCTACTTTTCCTTTGGCCCCTATCACCTCATTAGTTCCTGACAAGCACTAAACTCTTCTTCATTTCTCTAAATTTTGTCAACTTCAAAAATGTTATATAACTGTAACTAACATGTCACATAAAGTATGTGATCACTTGAGATTGCATTTTTTTCACCAAGTATAATGCCTTTGATATCCATTTGAGCTGTTTATGCATTGGTAGTTTATTTCCTTTTTATTGCTCAGTAATATTCCCTGGTATCTATGTTCACTTTGTTTAACCTTCCAACTCATATAGGGTATCTAGACTGTACAAATAAAGGTATGATAAACATTCATGTACAGGTTTTTGTGTGAACATACAATTTCATTTCTTTGGGGAAAATGTCCAAGAATTCAATTGCTGGATTGTATGATAATTTTACTGTTAATATTTTAAGAAAACACCAGATCATCTTGTATAGTGGCTAGACCATTTTACATTGTTGGCAGTGATGTTTTAATGATCTAGTTTTTCTGAATACATGCTAGGGTTTGGTGTTAGTAATGATATATCATTGTGGCTTTAATTTGCATTTTCCTGGTTACTAATGACTTGAAACATCTTTTATGGATTTATATGCTGATATGGATTGAATGGTCTTCCCCATAAAAATCATATATTGAAGCTCTAACCCTCAATATGACTTTATTTGGAGATAAATATGACTTTATTTGTCATGGTTTTCATATTAATACACAACAAAACAAGAATAAAGTGCACTATATAGGAGGGCCTATATAGTGGAAATAAAGGTTAAGTGAGGTCTTAAGGGTGAGGCCTTGGTCTGGTAGGACTGGTGTCCTCATAAGAAGAGGAAGACATATGAGAGAGCTCTCTCTGTCCCTGAACTGCACAGAGAAAAGGTCGTGTAGGGACACAATGAGAAGATGGTCATCCACAAGCCAGAAAGAAAGGCCTCTCTAGCAAACAACTCTTAAGGGCACCTAAATCTTGGACATCTAGCCTCCAGAGCAATGAAAAAATTTTTTTCTATCGTTTAAGCCACCTAGTCTGTGGTATTTTATTATGACAGTACTAGAAGACTAATACATATGCCATCTGTGTCTCTTCACTGAAATGTTCCCCGTGGTTTTTTTTTTTTTTTTGGCAATTTTCTAATTGGATTGATAATTTTTTTTTAATGTTGAGTTTCAAGAGTTTTTTACATATACCAGATCCTAGTGCTTTGTCATAAACATTGTTTATAAATATTCTTTCTCAATTTTGTATCTTGTCTTTTCATCTTAATAGAGTGTTTTGCAGAAAAAGAAAATGTTTAATTTTGTTGAAGTCTAATTCATCAAATTTTTTGTATGGACCATGCTTTCAGTGTCAAGACTAAGTACTCTGCCTAGCCCTAGATTATGAAGACTTTTGTATGTTGTTTTAAAGTGTCAAAGTTCTGGATTTCATACATAAGTCTGTGATGTATTTTGAGCTAATATTTTATATAATGTATGAGACATAGATTGAGTTTTATTTTTTAACTATTGATGTCCAAATTGCTATAGCACCATTTGTTGAAAGGCTATCTTTCCTTCATTGAAGTGCTTTTGCACCTTTGTAAAAAAAAATCAGTTGGGCATATTTATATCGGCCTTTTCTGGATGCGCTATACTGTTTTATTGATCTGATATTGATCTGAGTGTTTATCCTCTCCATATTAATTGAAATATCAATAACGCACAGTTTTGAGTACTCTATATCATGATCTTGAAATTGGTTAGAGTGTTTCCCCCTATTTTATACTCTTTTTCAAAATTGTTTTAGTAATTTTAGATATTTTGCCTTTCTACAGAAATATTAAAATAGTTTATATCTATATCTACATAAATATTACTGTGATTTTGAAGGGAAAAGCATTAAATCTGTATATCAATTTGAAGACAGTTGACAATTTTGCCATGTTGAGTCTTACAGTCCATGAGCATAGTATTTCTTTGCATCTATTTACATTTTTCATTTCTATTAGCAGTGGGTTCTATTTTTAAGCATATAAGTTCTATACAGTTCTGGTTAGAATTATACCTAAATATTTAATTTAGGTATGAATTAATACATAATATTATTTAAACTTTAATGTTAAATTATTAATATCTAATGATTGAAAATCTTATTGTATTTTTTAATTTTAGTATCCACATATTTACTACTAGTACTTAGAAATACAATTGATTTTTTACTATGTATTTAATACCCTCCAAACTTGCTAAACATACTTGTAAGTTCTAGATGTTTTTTGGTAGATTCCTTGATGTTTCCTATTGGGACAATTACATCATTTATAATAAGGACAGTTTTGTTTCTTCTTTTTCTGGCTGTGTATCTTTATTATTTCTTTCTTCCATTATTGCACTGGCAAAAACTTCCAGTTTTATGCTGAATAAACCTGAGCGCCATAGATATTCTTGTCTTGTTCTCAATTGTAGGAGAAAAACACCAAGTCTTTCATCATTAAGTATAACATTACCTAGAGGTTTTTTGTATACTTTATCAAGATGAGTTAGTTATCTCCATTCCTATTTTTCTGGGAGTTTTTGTTATGAATAAATATGAAGTGGTTATCAAGTGTTATTTTGTGTGTGTACATTGAATGATATGGCCATGTGATTTCTCATGCTGACATCTTTCTCCTCTCCCTCTGTGACTCCAGTGACACTAATGTTATATCTTCTGTTATAGTCAGAGAAGCCTCTGAGCCTTTTTGTTTATAGTCTGCTTTGTCTCTGATATTCAAATTGGTAATTTTTACTATTCTACCTTCTAACATATTATTTTTTTCTCTGTCTTTTCTGTGGGGAGTTACTGCTTCATACATGGTTTCCATTGATATAATGAGGGAGTGGTGATGGCCTCGTTACCATTTTGCTGTGATGAAAGTCGGACTGTTCACTAGGCCTCATCTAGCACTCTGACATCATCCCATTGGTGAGAGGGAGGATTGATTTGTCATGGCCAGTTGAGGATGGAAGCCCAGGATTTCCACATGATCTCCATTGGCACAACAGGTGTGACCCTATTACTGCTCATTGAAGATGAAAGTTCTGCCTCCTGACTCAGCCTTTTCTGACACCACCCTGAAGGGAGCATTAAGGTGAGCTGTTGTAACTTGTCAACAGTGGAAGTCTGTTTTTGGTGGTGCGTATCTATTCATGTTTTGGAATTGCTGGCTTCTTTAGCTCCAAGCTGGCAATATATGAGGCAAAAAGAAAACCTACAGAATTCAACACCATGTCATTTCTTGTATCCTATGTGTCTAGGCCATCTGTTTTCTTTCTACCTTTCAGTCTTCTAGTGCTTATTTTATATATAATTTTCAGGGATTCTAGTTATACAAAGATATCTACTTCGTCTTTCTGGAAGCAAAGTAGCTATATTTTCTTTTTGGGGAAGTAAATTAAAATAATTCTTATGAGAAAGAAAAAACAGTATTTCATTCTTTATAATCACAATCAAATTGTGACAAAAACAGCATTTTTAAATATGAGTTGAGGTGATGAAAAATATTAGGATCTAAGTGTCTAATAAGAAACGAAAATGTAGTTATGCTGCTCAAGAATAAAACAGGGCTGTAAATGTCAATTTGAAAACTATGTGCATATCACTAATTAGCCAATTGTGAAATGATTGAGACTACTTAAAAAGTATTTGGAAAAAAGGAAAAAAGAAATATAGAATTTTGAAGATAAAACATACTTAAATAAATTGAGAAGAAGAGTAAGAAAAATAGATTTGTTGTTTTTCCAAAATTTATCTAAAAATAGGCAAGCCCATTCTTTTGGTCTTATATTATTCTTTAAACATAGTTTTGAAAATATATACTAAAAAACTGATAAGCACTTCTTATGATAAACTAGGGTCTGTGCTTCAAAGAACAATATTTGTCATTTTTCAGTATATTAAAAAAAGGTGCCTTAGGCTTTAAAGATGTTAGAAAGAGGAATCAGACACACATGCACACACACACACGAGTTATTGCAACAAGATGGAAATAAGAGTATATCCTATTTCTCAGTCTCATTCTATTACAGCACATCATTTAAGCAGTTTGGTAATATGATATCCTGAGTGTGAAGGCAAGGTAGATTCATTCCTCTAGATGTTTACTTCTTTGATTTTAAAAACTGAAATATTTACTCCTCTCATATCAATATCAGAAAATACCACTGGCCTTGAAATCAACTTTAATTCTTCAGATAAATATATTGAGAAATATCTTTACTATTTCTGCTTCACAAAATTCCAGTTCAGCACCAGTAAAGACATATAATTTTATAAACCAAGGAAGACAAAGAGAATAGCAGAGAGCATGACAACAGATGGGAGATGTCAGTGAAATTATAGAAGAGTAAATTAGTTTAGAGTGTTAACTGATTTAGACGAGCAGTGAACACTGAAATCTAAGTGTTAAAAGAAAAGCCACACCTCAAAAAATCAAATTGAACTGCAATATGACACTCTAGAAAGTTTTATTTATTGAGTGAACAAATATCTCAAGAGAAGGGGGTAAACGGTAAGGCTGAAAAGCAGAATAGTTATTTAAAAGTCTGTATCAGAACAGTAGAAATTCCAGATTTCCTATTTTGTCACCCCAAATCCAGGTAACTAGTACTCCCCAATCTAGGAAAATGATATTTCATGACCTACTCCAAAAATGATCTGATTCCCACCAGATTGCCTGCAATGAAACCTCTTTTCATCTATCCTCATCCATGTACATACATCTCCAAATTATACTTAAAGGTTCGTCGGAAAGTTGAGTAAAGTCTTATCATACAAGACAAGGATGAAAGAAAAAAAAAGAAAAATTAATTAGAGAAAAGCAGAAACAATTTAGGAAACAAACTATATATATATATATATATAGTGTGCGTGTATATATAGTGTGTATATATGTATATATACACACATGTACACATACACACACATTATTTGCAAATACATTTAATTATTTTATATTCTCAGAAAGAAAATACTTACATAAGTTTATGTTCACCTATATACAAATTATTATCCTCAGGGAGATAATAGAACATATGGCACTGATGAAATATGAACAAGATATCATAAAATTAATAATAATCAGAAATAGAACTATAGAAATAATATTATAGAAAAATTTTAACAAAGTTCAATAGAACGGTTAGTTGGCAATATTCAGGAAGTCCCCTGAAATGTTGATGAAAAACAGGAGAGAAAAGATAGGAAAATAAAAGCTTCAAAAAAAGAAAAAAGAGAGGCGAAGCAAGATGGCCAAATAGAAGCCTCCAACGAATCATCTCCCCGACAGGAATACCAAATTTAACAGCTATACAGAAAAAGCACTTTCATAAGAACCAAAAATTAAGTGAGCATTCACAGTACCTGGTTTTAACTTCGTATCTCTAAAAGAAGCACTGAAAAGCACAGGGAAAACAGTCTTGCATGGCTGATGCCACTCCCTCCCACATACTCCAGTAGCCTGGTGCAGAGAGAGAATCTGTATGCTTGGAGGAGGGAGAGCACAGTGATTGCGAGACATTGCATTAAACTCATGCTCCCCTGTCTCAATGGAAAGCAAAACATCACTGAACTCAGCTGAATCCCACCCATGGAGATAGCATTTAGACCAGCTCTCACCAGAGGGGAATGGCTCTTTCCAGCAGTCAGAATTTGAGTTCTGGTAAGCCTTGCCACCATTGGCTAAAGTGCTCTGGGGTACTACATAAACTAGAAAGGCTGTCTAGGCAATAAGGACTGAAACTTGTAGGCAAGTCCTAGTGCTGAGCTGGGCTTATAGTCAGTGGACTTGGGGACCATGACCTAATGAGACACCAGCCAGGGCAACTAAGGGAGCACTTGTGCCAACACTCCCTGAAACCTAGGCAGCACAGCTTACAGCTCCAGATCAGAACCCATCCTTCTGCTTGAGGAGAGGAAAAGAAAGAGTAAAGAGGACCTTTGTCTTGAATCTTGAATACCAGCTTAGTCACAGTAAGATAGGACACCAGTCAGAGTTGTGAGGTCACCCATTCCATGCCCTAGATCCAAGATAACATTTCTAGGCATACCCTGCACCAGAAGGGAACTTGCTGTCTTGAAGGGAAGGACTCAGTCCTGGCAGGACCCATCACCTGGTGACTAAAGAGCTGTGCACCCTAAATAACCATCAGCAATATCTAGGTATATGGTACATATACACAGGGAGTATTGTTCAGATGTAAGAAGAATGAGATCCTGTCATTTGCAACAACATGGATGGAACTGGAGGTCATTATGTTAACGGAAATAAGCCAAGCATAGAAAGACAAACTGCATGTTTTCACTTATTTGTGAGAGCTAAATATTAAAACAATTGAACTCATGAAGATAGAGAGTGAGAAGGATGGTTACCAGAGGCTGGGAAGGATAGTGTGGGAGTGAGGGAGGATGTCAGATGGTTAATGGGTACAAAAAATACCTTGAAAGAATGAATAAGACCTAGTATTTTCCAGCAAAAGAGGGTGACTATAGTAAAAAAATAATTCAATTGTGCATTTAAAAATAACTAAAAGAGTATAATTGGATTGTCTGTAACACAAAGGATAGATGCTTGAGGTGATGAATACCTCATTTACCCTGATGTGATTATTATGCATTTTATGCCCATATCAAAATAGCTCATGTAACACATCAATATATACCCCTGCTAGGTACCCACAAAAATTAAAAATTAAAAGAATTCCAATTAGAGTATGAGTGTTTAAAAAAAACCATAAAAACAGAAAAAATACATAATCAAATAAATAATTCAAAAAATTTCCCAGGGCTCAAAGATACACTCTTATATGAAATGACCCACCGAATTAAAGATCAATGAATGCCAACAGGGTCACTCCAAGATATATCATACACCACTCTGAAATTAAAATCCTGGAATAAAGAGAAGATCCTAAAAGCTTGCAGAAGAGAAGAAAGTTTTAAATCTTAAAAGACAACAGAGATGTAAAGAAGGAAAGTCTGAGAAGAATAAAGAGGGGAAATGTCCTGTAAGAACAATCAAGAAGTGGAATGACACCAGTCTTTAATATAATACACATACACACAAACACAAACATACACAGAGAGAGAGAGAGAGAGAGAGAGAGAGAGAGAGAGAGATTGGAGATATTAAACATTAATCCCCTCTGTATACTTCAAAAGAGGAGGGGATTCAAGAAAAAGACAAAAATTGAATTTACTTAATAGGATCTAAAACAAGAAGTGAAGCATAAATGCTCATGTCTTAATAGTTATTGTTAATTACAGAAGTTTTAAGACACATAAGAGAAAAAAAGAAAAGAAAAAGAAGAAAGAAGGAAAGAAAGAAAGAAGGAAAAAGGTGTCAAGAAAATGACAGAAAATATTATTAAAGATTTTTAAGCAATTTTTAATTATATTGAATACCAACCCTCATAGGATGACAGTTATGCATCAAGGAAAATGCAATAAACATACAACTTGTAAATGCAAGCCAGAAAACAATATGATACTAATCTTAAATCTAATGGAATATCATATGATTATGTTTATTAGTTGGGTGGTTAAGATAGGAAATGTATGAAAAAGAAAAAAAAAACATAGGAACTCTGCCTGTGTCAAAGGGTTTTAAGCCTACCCAGCACTATTTATTTTATATATTGAGGCAAAAAATTACTAACTGTATTGGAGCTGAGAATTTCTGAGGTTTGGAGGTATATCAGCTTTCTTCAAATTCAGGGAGTATATGATTCAAGGGAGTATATGATGATTTTTCATGAGACTCGCAGGTCAGTATATTTTTTGCAGGTATTCATTTCCTAATCCTGTTATTGCATTTACTCTTTTCTAAACTGACCTGCCAAAAGGTTGCAAAATTAGTTTTACTTTCCCATCTCCCCTGCACAATCCTTCTTTTGCCTTTACAAAAGAAAGGCAAGTCTCTTATTCATCTCAAAGTGTTAATATGGAGCATTGTGCTAGCATGTAAAAAAAAATCTTCAAGGCATCAAATACAAAAGTGATTAAACAAATTGATGTTACTAGTAAGAAAGCAGCAGAGAAACATATCCCATTACAATTCAAGAGACTCCAATTTATAGATTTCCACAAAATTAATTAAAACTTAGGCTTACAAATGGTAGATGATGAAATCAATTTTATGATATTTTACTATGCTATTTTGACTATAAAGCTGTTATAAAAATAATTCAGTGATATCACTGTACAAAAAATTTGACCAGTACTACCTATCTTTACATGTGAAAACTAGTTCTTAAAACTTTCATTAATAAAAACAAAAGTTAGGAATAAAAATTCATGGAAAACCTGGATCATTCTACCAAAACTAATATTTATTCATGAACTATATGTAACCTATTTGGAGAAAAAGGGAGGTGAAATGCATTTCACCACAATGTTAATGCTTCATGTTTAAAAATTATTTGGCAGGTTTCTACTTCTGGCTGTAGTGGAGTATGTGGTTTCAACCAGTCTTCTCTCATTGAACAACTAGACAAGCCAGACAAAATATTTTAATGTATTTTCTTGAAGATTGTTTGAAGGCTTTAGCGAGCAACTGAGGCTGTGAAGAATTGTCAGACCAAGGTCCAGGAAAGAAGAAAAGTCTCAAAAGGTGAGCTTACCTTTTAGGGTGACTGTTCAACTAGAGGCATTTATCTGTTCCCATATTGAAAGAAAAGCTGTGTGAGAAATGCCAAGAAGCTAAGTTGAGCTTCTAATAGACGTGTTGGTTTGAGGGGACAAAATTTAGATTCCAGAGCCTGGCAAGGAAAATATTCATTATTAATAGCTTTCTCTTGAATCTCATATCCTCTTGAACTCTCAGTTCTCTTTATAATTTCATAATACAGTGCTGTCAACATAAAAGGCACAGCAAGATAGGGCAAGCCAGGGCACCGTATGCTGAGGGGCAATGGGCAAGGTAAATACATGGGTAACCTAAATTAATATGTATTTGATAAAAAATAGTATAAAGACAATTAAAGTAACAAGATTTGAAATATATACCCACAATAATATAAACACTTGCCAATATTGACTGTATACTGTGTCACAGAGGAGATCTCAACAATGTCAAAGTTACAAATCATAGTAAAAGTGTTCTTCGTACTATTTTTAAAAAGGAAACTGTATGCTAATTTTAAATACTTGTATTAAATCATAATTTTGTTTAATATATAAAATGAATATGAAATCTTGTCATTCTAGGCAGTAAATATAAATACTATAACCAGACCAATAAAAAAAGTAAATGGGTGCTTATCTTTCCTACTAATAAATAAGTTATTTATTGTTCTTCTGTTAGATATGAAATAAAAGTTTCTCTGACAATCTTTTCCTTATACTTCACTTTGCTTATGAACAAACTTGTAATATGGTCTCAATGCTGAGAAAATTAATCAGATATTATAATCATATATCCAAGGACACTCCTGAAAATTATTCCTAAAACATTTATGGTGGCAATTATTGATTTGAATCACCAATTTTCTAGATTTTTATCTTATTCTAAAACCAAACACATGCATAAAGAAAATAATGAACATGCAGAACTTATTCTCCACGATAATTAGGTATTTTATAAATATTTATAATGTGTAATACAAATTTGGGGAGGAATAATATCTAAATCCGATGAGTATTGGCTTGTCCAGATTAGAAGTTGCCCTTGTTTCCAGTTAAAAACTTAAGGGGAAACCAGATGAATGCCAAAAAGAAATTAAGTTAATCAAATTCCCAAGTAGGATTTATGAAATTTGAGATTTGGGTTTACAAAGAGTCTCAGGACACCTTATTATTAAAATCTTGATTTTTAAAATGTAATTAGACATATTCACATATTATAATAAAGAGGCAAAGCAAGAAACTTAGATGGGGACCACTTGGTTGATATTAATTGATAAATAGTAACCGGTGTAATGGGTTAGATGTGCTTTTGGGAGAATAATACAAATAATTTAAATGTGATCTCTTTATAAAGTCTGCCTCTCTCACCTCTCTCGGAATGAGATATCATTCATGACCATATAGAAACACTTGCTCTTTTTTGGTTTTGTTTATTATTCTAACTTTTATTTAGGTTCAGCATACACGTAGAGGTTTGTTATATAGGTAAAGTGCATGTCACAGGAGTTTGGTGTACAGATTATTTTGTCACCCAGGTAAGAAGCATAAAATGCAATAGGTAGCTTTTCATTTCTCACACTTCTCATACCCTCCACCCTCTAGTAGGCCCAGTGTCTGTTGCTTCCTTCTTTGTGTCCGTATGTACTCAATGTTTAGCTCCCACTTATAAGAGTGAACATGAGGTATTTGATTAACTGTTCTTGTTAGTTCTCTTAGGATACTGGCCTCCAGTTGCATCCATGTTGCTGGAAAACGATATGATTTTGTTTTTTTTGGCTGTGTAGTATCCCATGGTCTATATGCACCACAATTTCTTTATTCAATCTACTGTTGATGGGTATTTATATTGAATCCACGTTTTTGCTATTGTGAATAGTGCAGTGATGAACATGAGTTTTCAGGTGTCTTTGTGATAGAACAATTTATATTCCTTTGGGTATAGACCCAATGTGGGATTACTGGCTCAAATGGTAATTCTGTTTTAAGTTCTTCGAGAAATTGCCACACTGCTTTCCACAATGACTGAACTTATTTACATTCCCACCAGCAATGTATAAGCTTTCCCTTTTCTCTACAACCTCCCCAACATCTATTAATTTGTGAATTTTTAGTAATAACCATTTTGATGGGTGTGAGATGATATCTCATTGTGATTTTGGTTTGTATTTATCTAATATTAGTGATGTTGAGCATTTTTTATATGCTTGTTGGCTGTACGTATGTCTTCTTTTGAAAAGTTTCTGTTCATGTCCTTTGCCTGCTTTTTCATGAGGTTGTTTGTTTTTGCTTATAAATTTGTTTAAGTTACTTGTAGACCTTTGTCTAGTATCCAAAATCAATAAGTAAATTAAACAAATTTATATTTACATTGTCTGCAAATACTTTCTTCCATTCTGGAGGTAGTCTGTTTGCTCTGTTTAGAGTTCCTTTTGCTGTGCAGAAGCTCTTTAGTTTAATGATTCCCATTTATGACTTTTTTATTTTTTTCGCAGTTGTTTTTGTCATTTTTATCATGAAATCTTTGTCACATTCTATGACCAGAATAGTATTTCCTAGGATATCTTCCAGGGTTTTTATATTTTCAGGTTTTACATTTAAGTCTTTAGTCCATCTTTGGCAGATTTTTGTATATGGTGTAAGGAAGGGATCCGGTTTTAATCTTTTGCACCTGGCAAGCCAGTTATCCCAGCACCAATTATTGAACAGGGAGTCCTTTTCAATGTTTTTGTCTATCTTGTTGAATATCAGATGGTTATAGGTGTGCAGCATTACTTCCGGGATGTCTACTCTGTTCCATTGGTCTATGTGTCTGTTTTTGTGCCAGAACCATGCTATTTTGTTCAACTTGCAGTATAATTTGAAGTTGGGTAGTGTGATGCTTTCAGTTTTGTTCTTTTTGCTAGGCTTGCCTTTGGTATTAGGGCTCTTTTTTCATTTTGTATGAATTACGAAATAGTTGTTTTTAATTCTGTGAAGAATGCCATGGTAAATTGATGGGAAAGTATTGAATCTCTAAATAGCTTTGAGAGTTTTGTTCATGTCATCTATGATTTCTTTTATCAGTGTTTTGTAATTCTCATTGTAGACATATTTCACCTCACTGGTTAGCTCTATTCCTAGACATTTTTCTTTTTGTGGCTATTGTAGAAGGCATTTCATTCAATTCAGCTCTCAGTTTGGATGTTGCTTGTATAAAGAAATGCTACTGATTTTTTTAGATTGATTTTGCATCCTGAAATGTTGCTGAAGTTGTTTATAAAGACCTAAGAGCTTTTGGGCAGACTATTCGGTGTTCCAGGTATAGAATCATACTGTCTGGAAGCAGAATAGTTTGACTTCCTCTCTCCCTATTTGGATGCCTTTTATTTCTTTTTCTTTCCTGATTTCTCTGGCTAGGACTTCCAGTTATATGTTGAATAGGAGTGGTGAGAAGAGCATCATTGCCTTGTTCCAGTTTTAAAGGGGAATGCTTCCAGCTTTTGCCCGTACAGTATGATGTTGGCTGTTGATTTGTCATAGATGGCTCATATTATTTTGAGGTATGTTCCTTCATTGCCTGTTTTTTTGAAGGCTTTTAACATGAAGAGAGGTTGAATTTTACTAAAAGCCTTTTTTGCATCTATTGAGATGATCATTAGCTTTTTGTTTTAGCTCTGTTTATGTAATGAATTAAATTTATTGATTTGCATATGTTAAACCAAACTTGCATCCCAGAAATAAAGCCCAGTTAATCATGGTGGATTAGCTTTTTTATGTGCTGCTGGATTTGGATTGCTAGTATTTTGTTGAGGATATTTGCATCTATTTTTACCAATAATATTGCCTTGAATTCTTCTTTTTGTTGTTTCTGCCAGGTTTTGGTATCAGGACAATGCTGGCCTCATATTATGAATTATAGAGAAATCTCTCCTCCTTAATTTTTTTGGAATAGTTTGAGTAGGAATGTTACAAGCCCTTCTTTATGCATCTGGTAAAAAGTAGCCGTGAATTTGATCCTGAACTTTTGCCGGTTGGTAGGTTTTTTACTACTTATTCAATTTTGGAACTGTAGTTAGTCTGTTCAGGAATTCAATGTATCCCTTGTGTAATTGTTGGAGGTGGTAAGTTTCCAATAGTTTATCCATTTCTTCTAGGTTTTCTAGCTTACGTACATAGAGATGTTCATAATTGTCTCAGGATTTTTTGTATTTCTGTTGGGTCAGTGTAACATCCTTTTATTCATTTTTGATTGTGTTTATTTGGATCTTCTTTCTTTTTTCTTTATTAGACTAGCTAATGGTCTACCTGTCTTATGTATTCTTTCAATAAACCAACTCCTGGACTCATTAATTTTTATATGGTTTTCCACAACTTAATTTCCTTCGGTTCAGCTCTGATTTTGGTTATTTCTTGTCTTCTGCTAGCTTTGGGGTTGTTTTGCTCTTGTTTATCTAGTTTCTTCAGGTGTGATGTTAGGTGGTTAATTTGAGGTCTTTCTGACTTTTTGATGTGTGCATTAAGTGCTACAAATTTCCCTCTTAACCACCTTAGTAATGTCCCAGAGATTCTGATATGTTATATCTTAGCTCTCATTAGTTTCAAAGAATATTTTATTTCTGCCTTAATTTTATTGTTTGTCCAAAAGTCATTCAAGAGCAATTTGTTTAATTTCCATGTAATTGTTTGGTTTTGAGTGATTTTCTTAGTATTGATTTTAATTTTTTATTGCATTGTGGTCTGAGAGTGTAGTTTTTATGAGTTTGGGTTGTTTGAATTTGCTAAGAATTATTTTATGGCTGACTATATGGTTGCTTTTAGAGAAAGTGCAGATAATAAAAAATGTATATTTTGTTGGTTTGGGGCAGAGTGCTCTTTAGATATTTGTTAGGTCCATTTGGTCAAGTGTTGAGATCAGGTCGTGAATATGTTTGTTAATTTTCTGTTTTGATGATCTTTCTAATAACGTTAGTGGAGTGCTGAAGTCTCTCACTATTATTGTGTGGGAATCTAAAGTCTCTTTGTAGGTCTCTAAGAACTTGCTTTACAAATCTCAGTGCTCCTATATGCTGGGTGCATATATATTAACATAGTTAGGTCTTTTTGTTGAATTAGACCTTTACCATTATGTAATATCCTTCTTTGTCTCTTTTAATCTTTGTTGGATTAAAGTAGGTTTTGTCTGAAATTAAAATAGCAATCCCCGCTTTTTCTTTTCTCCATTTGGTTGGGAGACTTTTCTCCTTCCCTTTACTTTGAGCCTGTTGGTGTCGTTGCATGGGAAACAGGTCTCTTGAAGACAGTCTGCTATTGGATGTTGCTTCTTTATTCAAATTTCCACTCTGTGCCTTTTCATTGGTGTATTTAGCCTGTTTACATTCAAGGTTAATATTGGTATGTATGAAATTGATCATGTCATCATGTTGTTAGCTGGTTATTATGCAGACTGTGAGGTTGCTTTACAGTGTCAGTGATCTATGTACCTCAGTGTGTTTTTGTGGTGGCTATTAGGTGTTTTTCCTTTCCATATTTCTATATTTAGCACTCCCTTCAGTACCTCTTTTAAGATACATCTTTTTTTTTTTTTGACAGGGTCTCGCTCTGTTGCCCAGGCTGGAGTGCAGTGGTGCAGTCTCGTCTCACTGCAACCTCCACCTCCTGGGTTCAAGTGATTCTCCTGCCTCAGCCTCCCAAGTAGCTGGGACTACAGGGATGCACCACCACTCCTGGCTACCTTTTTGTATTTTTAATAGAGACGAGGTTTCACCATTTTGGCCAGGCTGGTCTCGAACTCCTGACCTCAGGTGATCCAACCACCTGGGACTCCCAAAGTGCTGGGATTACAGGTGTGAGCCACTGCACCCAGCCATGATAGGTCTTAGGGTAACAAGTTCCCTTAGCATTTGCTTATCTGGACTAGGATCCTATCTCTCCTTCGCTTATGAAGCTTCATTTGGCTGTATATTAAATTCTTGGTTGGAATTTCTTTTCTTTAGGAATGTATGTCCCCAATCTCTTCTGGCTTGTAGGGTTTCTGCTGAAAGGTCTGCTGTTACCCTGTTAAGTTTCCCTCTATAGGTAACATGCCCCTTCTCTCTAGCTTATTTTAACATTTTTTCTTTCATTTTGGTGTTGGAGAATATGATGACTATGTGCTTTAGGTATGATCATGTTGTATAGTATCTCAGAGGGGTTCTCTGCATTTTTTGAACTTGAATGTTGATCTCTTTAGCAAGGCTGGGGAAATTTTCATGGACAATATCCTGAAATATTTTTTAAGTTGCTTGCTTTGTCTCCCTCTCTTTCAGGGACATCAATGACACACATATTTTGTCTCTTTACATAATCCCATATTTTTGGAGAGTATTTGTTCTTATTTAATCATTTTTCTTTATTTTTTCTGACTGAGTTATTTTGAAGAACTGGTCTTTAAGCTCTGAGATTCTTTCCTCAGCTTGGTCAATTCTGCTGTTAATACTTGTGATAGTATTCTGAAATTTTTGAAGTGAGTTTTTCAACTCTATCAAATCAGTTTGGTTCTTTCTTAAAATGACCATTTCATCTTTCGTATCCTGTATTATTTTATTACATTCCTTAAAATCCTTGCGTTGGGATTTGGCTTTCTCCTGAATATCAATAATCTTTATTTCTGTCCATATTCTGAGTTCTATTTCTGTCATTTCAGCCATTTCAGCCTGGATATGAGCCATTGCTGGGGAAATAGTTCAGTTATATGGAGGGAATAAGACATTCTGGTTTTTGAGTGGCCAGAGTTCTAGCATTAGTTTTTTCTCATCTGTGTGGTCTGATGTTCCTTTGGTCCTTGAAGTTGCTGTCCTTTGGAGGGTTTTTTTTTTTTTTTTTGGCTTTTATTTTCTTTGATGCCCTTGGGGGTTTGATTTTTGCATAAGATGGATTTATGCTACATTTCCAGACATTTTTAGGGGGCCAAGGCTCAGCTCAGCCCTCCAGGAATGTGTGCTGTGTGGTTTCATGTTGGTCCCCAGCTTTGTTTTCTGGACCCTTGTGAGCTTAGGAACGTGCTGCATTGGTGGGGCCTAGGTGCTCCCGTACCACTGACCACAGCACTCTGATGAGTGGTGCCAGCCAGAGTGGTTCTTTAAGACAGTGGCAGCAGGATTCAAGCTTGTTCACAAGTGCCAGCAGCAGCGGCAGTGTGGTGGGGTGCATGTGCATCGGCTGTGGTGAGGTAGCAGTGGGGGCTGGGCTGACACATTTTTGCAGGCCTTCATACCAGCAGCAGGGGTGGTGAACTGGCCTGTGCAAGGCTGTTGGCCTCCTTGTGTCAGATTAAGGCAGTTGTGGTGATGGCACAGCGGGGCATGGGGTTGTCAGTGCAACAGCAATGGTGGCATAGTGGGGTGGAGGGTGAGGTACGCTCATGCCAGCTGCAGTGTCCCAGTGGGTGTGCATGCACTCACATGCCGCTGGAGGAGGGGAGGTGTGGTCTGCCCACCCAGACACTGGCAAAGCAGTGGGGGTGTGGCTGTGGGTCACTGTGGGCCAGCAAAATGTGCAGGTGAACTGGTACATGTTGGTGGAGGTCACTTAGAGCTCTCCCATGGTCAGGTGCAGTCTGCTGGCAAAAGAGCTACCATGAGGGCCCCAGGGTAGCATCCCAGTTGGGCAGCTGCAGCTTCACTGCAACAAGGTGGCCAGACTTGTGCCCCAGGGGAGGCCAGCAGAAAAGAGAGAACACAGATCAGACTGGCCTTGTCTCATGGACAAGACTACTCTGCTCTCTCCAGGTCCGACATTCTCCATATGGCTAAAGTCTCCTAGAGGAGCATGGCGAGCCTTGGGAAATGGGCATTACTGGACATGCTCCACTGCAGATGTTCCCATACCAAACCCTGAGGGCTTCAGACAGGCTGGAGTACTGTTCCTGCCACCTCTCTAAGCAGTTCTCCCTGATAGCTGAAGTGTTTGTGGAGGTCATAAGGTCTCCTGCTGCCAGGATTCTGGAGGTCCATGGCAAGAGCACGTTGCTCAACTCCTGTTCAGCTCATGGCTTCCTGAGGAGTCAGTGGGAGTCAGGAAAGTCCCTGTGTGCAGTAGTGCCATGCAGGGTTCCCAGCTTCCTCCTCATTCTGCCCATCATCTGTGTCCTCCCTCTGTCCACTCTCAGTGCCTTCCTCTGAAGATACACTCTGAGTGTGCCAGTCTTCCTTATGTACCAGTCTCTTGGTGGTAGATGTTCCTTCTAGCTGCATCTTATCAGACATCTTGAATCACTGAAACACTTGTTTTGACAAGTTATGCTAATTGGCCCTAGAACCGATTGAGAACTTTGATCAATATCCAAACACAAGTTATTAAAATTCTTTGGTGTTTTCATTCCTCTACTAATAGATTTCTATGAGTGATCATTGTACCTCTCACACCACCCTATGCCTTTTGAGGCAAACTGTTATAACAATATTGAAGATAATTTAAATGAAATAGTGGGGAGTGACTTTAGGCATGAGGCTGAGGTAGTTTGAAAAAGGAGACTGTTGTTTTCTCTGTAAATTAAGAAACACAGTAATGCACAAAAAATATGGGCAAGGTGATTGGGTTAGACATTTTAATACAGTAAATAATTTAAAATACTCAGTTTAGAGAACCAGGAAGTGAAACAATTTAGAAAAATCTTGTAGAAATTCTAAGCATTTAATGATCCCTGTTAAGAATAATGAAGATAACTTTATAGTTGCCTGTTTGTCTTTAGTAATCCTCAGCAATCCAGACAGGAGTATAGAAAAAGTGGAAAGAGGGGTTCCTTTAGACTTTAGGTTTTAGTTGTATAGATAAGAATGTTGAATGGACAAATGGGTGTGAGAATTTAGCATACTGACAAAAGAATACATGACATCATGGACAAATTAATATAAGCATAATTCAATAGAACATTGTTCTAGGGCCTGCAAAATTAGGATGTCATTTCTCTCTGAAAAAAAAAATGTGATTTCTTTTTGCCTGAAATGAGTATAAAACAACCAATGACATAAATCACAAAATGCCTTCAGCTTCCTTTTTCTCCCTATCAAATGCATTGTCCCATAATACCACAGTGTTATCCCTTTTAGTTCCAGTTCTCTCCATAAAGATGTGATTCTCTCAATTTATGAATGAATGTTTCCTGGCCCCAGAGTTGATGTGAGTCTGTCAACAATGAGTCACATGATAGCCCTCTTTCTGAGCCTTTCAGTTAGTCCTGTGCAAGCTGTTAAACCTAGAACTAGCAGTAGACTAAGTGTTCACACCATTTTATAAGTTCCTTTAGGGCATAAAATGTGACTCCATAGGGATACCTTGTCAATTTTAATTTTGTTTTACTTCTTTAGAATTGTAGGTGTGTTTTCTCTACATTTTATAACAACCTGCAAGTAGGGAAGTGACATTTCTAAAAGCAAGAGTTTAGGAACAGAGGTTTAAAGAATGTATATGGTTCTCATAGATTTTCTCAGCAGACACCCATATATCTTGGTTAGCCTTTGTATTAGTCCATTCTTACACTGGACTTGGGTATGAAAAAATACCCAAGACTGGGTAATTTATAAAGGAAAGAGGCTTAATTAACTCATAGTTCCACATGGCTGGGGAGGCCTCAGGAGACTTACTATCATGGTGAAAGGGGAAGCAAACACATCCTTTTTCACATGGTAGCAGAAGAGATAGCTGACGAGCACAAGGGGGAAATGGGCTCTTATAAACCAACAGATTTCATGAGAACTCACTCACTATCACAAGAA